>NC_000015.10:93410975-93562490 GCF_000001405.40 Homo sapiens
GGCCACTCCCTCATCCAGCTGTGGTCACCTGGTTCTGTTTTAACTTTGCACACCTCAGTTAGCCACAGAAAGTCCATTTTGTCTGTAGGCGGGCGGACGGGGGCGCACTTCAGCACCACGCACCCGATTGTACTCTATGCAACCGGCCACAAAGCCGGAGGGGTGTTTGAGTCCTAATTTGCCCTTTTGTGGAGCCTTTCCATAATGGAATTTGTTACTGTTAGCTCTTCTCCTATAAGATAAACAGCATACTTGAATGGGGGAGGGGTGCTAGAGCAAGGAGTTTAAAGAAGTCTTGGAAAATATCAACCCTTTGTTCCTTCGCTAACTTGTGCTTATAGCGTGGAAAATCTTACTTTCCAGATTGCAAAACAGACAGCTTGCTAAGGCTCAGGTGCTTTTCATGAGAAATCTTTGCTACATCAGTTTTCCTCATGCACTCTTCAGTTTATTGGCAGAACTTGACTCTTGGTGTGACCCTTTCGTATGGCTTTGGCCTGCCCTTGCCTTCCACACCTCTCTCAAAACCACCGTATTAAAGATTCTGCTGCAATTTCCAGCCTTTCCTTCTTGAAACTCTCGCCTCCATTTTCTTCCACAATACCTCTGAGACTCTCAGTCAGGTCTGTGTATACAATGGAAGGACCGAAATTTTCTTAGTTTTGATTGGTTGATGCAGCTGAGTTCTGATTGGTCAATATCTGTTTCTCTGCTTCTTCTTCCTGTTTCTTTATTTGTCCTCTGAGAGATGGACTTCTCCAGAAGAATAGCCTCGTGCCCTGGTAATCCTCCTCCTCTAGGCTCATCTCATATATGTCCATTGTGCTTACCCGATAAATTGGTCACCTCAAACATATTCCCAACAGTCCCCCTGAGCTTCAGCCCTCCCCTGCATCTCTGGGTTCCTTCACCTGT
Source organism: Homo sapiens (assembly GCF_000001405.40). Lineage (NCBI taxonomy): Eukaryota > Metazoa > Chordata > Mammalia > Primates > Hominidae > Homo > Homo sapiens. The sequence goes on from NC_000015.10 coordinate 93,411,891, forward strand.
TGCATCCTTTCACCTAGCCATTCAGTTGGCAAATCAAATTCAGTGCCACCAAGTCAACTCATGGTCTTCACCCCTCAAATCTTCCTTTCTGTGTTTCTTAGTTCTGTGAGTGGTACCCACTATCTACTATTTCCCAAAGCCAATTACCTAATTAAAACACATATCAAGGGTTAGTCATCTCCGGGTAAGCTGTCTGAAAATGTGCATGTTTGTAAGGGGCAGAGAGGAAGACACTCTTCCTGTCCTCAAGGAGCTCACAGTCTAGCAGAGATGGCAGACATGGCAGCCCATGCGGACAGAACACCAGGACCAGCCTGGTGGACTGGTACATGGCCAAGGCTGAGGAGGCAAGGTGGAAGGGCAATCATATACTCTGTCTGGGCAAGGCCTCTTTAAGGAGAGAATGGCACCCCACATGAAGTAGGAGTTTCGTAGCTGTTGGTTGAGTTGAAGTTTGCAAACTCAACTTCCAGCGTTGGTCCAGGCTCTGTAAGATTTAGAGGTGCACCCTCCAAAGCACAGGTGCCAGTGATGGGCGAGAGGTTTCTTGGCCACTTCCTCAAGGTAAAGGATTACTGAAGAGACCAGGGCATTTGGATTTGGCTCACCAAGAAAGGAAAGAGCTCAGAAAGGAGGAAAAAGAAGAGCCAGTTTCTCTTCTGAATTGCTTCCCTCTTAGTCTGGAGCCCCATATCCTGCTTCAGGTGAAGAATGAGGGCTTTTGTGTGTGTATGTGTGTGTGCGCTTTTGATTTTTTAAACTACAGAGCTACTCAGAGATGTAGGGGCCAAATTTGTTGACCACTTCTGGCAACCTACTGACCCCTTTGAAATGGGCATTTCCATGAGTGCACCTTTCCCAAACTTTTGAGTTTATTAACTCTAGAGGAAAATGACTCCTCTTCTCCAGCTTTTCCAAGAGAAGCCTCTGGAGTACATGAAGACCAAGCCTCTCATTTTACAGATGAGGACACTGAGGCCCATTGACCTGGTGTCCCTTGCTCGGAGCAGCATGCAAGCAGTGATCAGACAATGCTGGGGCTCAGAAGTCATCCCCCTCAGTCTCCCATCTGGATCAGCTTTTCAAGGCTGGGCAAGTGACTCTGCCTTGTCTGTGTGCTTGGCACTGCACCTCTGTCTGGGACTGGGGTCCCCAATAGGATAGGACCCTCCTGTCCAGTCCAGCCAGATGGCGAGCTGGGAAGTTACTTAAAGAAACTAAAACCTGAGACAAAGAGTGGTAAGGTCTGAGAGAAAATCAGCATGTGTGATTTGTGCCTGGAAGGGGGAACCACTTCTTGTAGGGGAAACTTCTGCACTTCTCTCTCTATAGGCCCCATATAGTAAACCCTTACCATTAACTCAATGCGGGCTGAGCAAGAGACATGTATGATCCTTCTACCACTCCTGTAAAACATGGGCTGCTTTTGCTTTACAGAAGAGGAAACTGAGGCACAGAGTGGAGCCATGAATTTGGTGAGTTGCAGAGCGGAGGCTCAGACCTCCACCCCATTCCTCCTGGCTCGGGAGCTGTGTTCCTGGGCCCCCTGGACAGTGGTAGCGCTGAAAGGACCTGGCGTCTCACACTTCTTATCTTCATTCCAATTCCCTTTTTCTCAAGAAAATTCCCACTCATCCTCCCAGTTCACCCTTTCCTTTCTGTCTTTAAGTGGCTTCAAGCGACAAAGTGGCTGGCTCCTCTGTTTCTCTTTCCCTTTTATGCCTATTGCAAGAAGCTGTAATAATCAAAGACGGCCAAAACTTTCTTTGAACTGGGTCTTTGTGGCCTTTTTGCAGTCTTCAGACCTCATGGTTTCTCAGTGGCAGTTCATCCCAGCAGCTTCTCCTTTCTCTGCCTGTGACTTCTGCCGCACTTGCGGGTGCTACCATACACTGCCGGTGGTGTTGGTCCCATGGTGACACAGCGCTTGGCAATTTACACAATGCTTTCAGCTCTACCCTACTGAAACGGGAAAAGTTCCCTTATCCCCCTCGCAGGGCGTGCAACAGGGGTGTGACTCACTTCTTCGGTGCCCTGCTGCTCACACCCCTCAGGGGGAGCCTGCAGGACAAGTTGTGGCAGCATTTTGGGCTCTGACCCTGTGGCAGCATCTAGGGTTGAGTGTTTACAGCTCCGGAAGCCCCAGTGAGTGTGTGATACAGGGTGCTCTTTCAGTTTTGCCGTCTGCAGGTGGCCTGTGTTAATCAACTCAATTAGACCCTCTGCCTTATTGCAAGGACAGAGGGCTTTCTCTATCCCAGGTTCTTGCCTCAGTGTATCAGAAAAATTGGATCACATGTGGGCTTGGAGGATGGGTGCAAGGTTTTATTGAGTGGAGCTAGCTCTCAGTGAGGTGGATGGGGGGCCAGAAGGGGGACGGAGTGGGAAGGTGGTCTTCTCCTGGAGTCGGGCTGTCCAGCGGCTGGGCTCTCCCCTGACTGCCCCCAGCTGAATTCCATGTCACCCGCCATCCATTGCCTGCCGGCATCTGCCGGTGCCTGTCGGTGTGCTCTTCCTGTCATTTGCTCCTCTCAACGTCCAGCTGCCTGTGTCTGGGTCCACTAGGGTCTCGGGGTTTTTGTAGGCACGGGATGGGGGTGTGTGGTGGGCCAGAGTGATCTTGGAAAACGCAACATTTGAGCTCGAAAACAGGAGTGCCTGTCCTCACTTAGGTACGTGGGCACAGGCCTGAGGGTGGAGCCCTCGCCAGGGACCCCAGCCTTCTTTACCCAGCACTTCCCTGTCCTCCTCCCGTGTCACTGTCACAGGTGAGCTCCCTGTCTCGGAGTGCCTCTTCTTGGTTACACCATGTAGGTCGCGTCCCTACCAAGGGATCCTGCTTTCCTGTTCTCCGTTGATTGGACACGGGTTGGACATTTGATCCTGGGTTGGGGTAAGGAATCTATTGGATGGCCACAGCTGTGCCATTCCTCATTGAAGAGTTTGAGAGACTGTGGTTAGACTGCTGTGCTCTGTCGTCTGCTAGGGCAGAGGTGACCTCCCCAAGATTGCAAATGTGGAGAAAAGAGCCTTGAAAAGTTACAAATCCTCTGAGAAGAAGGAAATGAAGCTCTGGACAAAGGGGACCCGAGAGAAGACCTGCAGGCCCAGAGAGGCAGAGGAGAGAGAGATGGAGAGTCTGTGACTGCCTTTCCAGTTTCTGTTCTCTGTTCTGTGATAGTCTACTTTCTGCAGAAAAGAAAGCCTTCTTTTGAGAATTCTAGTCTGGCTGATTTTCTGTTTTCTTTTTATACAATTGCACGAAGGCTCCCCAAGTCGTCAAGTTTCCCTTGCTTGGCATGTTATCCTCATACACAGAATCCTCTCTGTGTGCTAGTGGGATTGCCCATCCCAGATCCTAAGGCATTCATAGTCCCGGCAGGGACCTCCCTGCAGAGAGCTCCTTTGCCTACTAGCACCCAGTTTCATTTGAGAAACATCATCAGCTGACAGATCCTTTGCGTGACCATTGCAAGCTGTGAAGAGGAGGCAGTGCTGTCTCAGATGGGGTCTTCTTCCTGTTTCTCCTTCCTTCTAGAAAGATGAGGCATATGTGTAAGACTGCAGTCAGCAGGGGCCACCAGAGAATCTTCCACTTGAATGGCCGGTGATGCTTTCCCAAAGTTTGTGCTGCTGAGCAGGAGGAGGCCTGGTTTGCTGGGCAGAGAGGGTGGCAAGAACAGGAACTAACAGAGAGGGTGGCAACAACAGAACAGTTGCAGATCCAGGAGCTGGGATCAAGAGGCTCCTGTGGGGGCTGTTTCCAATCATTGGGGAATGAATGTGGGGAGGGAGATGGCTTCCCAAATCAGATACACTACATTTCTCATAAGAGCAGCTTGTAAGGCTTTGTCCCATGTTCAGGGGCGGCTGCGAAGGCCTCTTGGGTGGCAGCCTCATTGTGACTGATGGCTGCATGTGGGGAGAGAAGGGGAGACTGGCCTTGGCATCCAGGCTGTGGAAGGGGAAGGGAGGAGAGAGCTGTTTCTGGAATTGGAGTGAGGAGGAAGGTAGAGGAAGAAAGCCATACGGTTTGGAGGGCCTAGGGCTCCTTGAAAAGGACTTCTAGGCCAGCCCCAGCAGGGACTTGTGGAGTAGGATTACAGAACATGTATGTGTCCTGGTGAGGAGGGCAGAAGCCTGAAGCTTCCCGGAGGCTTAGAGGGAGCACAGCAAGAGGAATCCTGAAATGAGAGTGGAAGAACTGGGGACTGTGAGGCCAGAGAAGGCACGCAGGGAGCTGGGTCTTTGAACTTTCTAGTTCTAGTGTCAGGATTCTGAAATACAGTAAGGTTGGACTCACATCTTTATTACTTGGGCCTAATTAAGAAAAAAGAAAAAGCAACAAAAGAAAATGGCAGAAAACATTTATGACCTTCAAGGATCTGTGATGCCTGCCCTGACACACACCCTTGAACCCTGGGCAGGAACCATCACTCGTACATCACAATGACTTGGATTTGATATCTTCAAATTTTAATCCAAGCAAAGCCATGAAAGCCTTTGCTTTCTTAAAAGAGGCCGACTTTTCCCTAGTTCCATTTGAATTTACTTTTTAAGCCCTCTTTTCAGAGCTAGAAATAAATTTCTTGTAAATTTCTGCATAAACACGCCTGTCCCCATTTCAACAGGGTTCTGTAGTTGACAGTGCTTTAGTGAACTAGTTCTCACAAAACATGTGCAACGCAAACTTCATTTCGTTCCAGTCCTTTGTGCAAAAAGATAATTGCCAGTTGTATGCTGTTTGTTTTGTATTCTCAGAAAAGAAAAAGGGAACCAAAGGGAAACTTTTCAAATATTTTTCACTGTTAAATCTAAATTCCCTATCTCTCTTTTAAAAAAAAATCTATATAAATACATGGGGTACAAGCGTAATTTTGTTACACTCATAGATTGTGTAGTGGTGAAGTCAGGGCTTCTGGGATATGCCTCACCCAAATAACATACATGGTGCCCATTAAGTAGAAATTCTCTCTTTATTGAAAATATTCTAATCAGCCAAAACTTTAAGACTTGTGTATAAACATTTGTGTAGCTCATAACAAATAGCAAAGAAATTTAGGAAAGGAATCATAATTCCTAAAACCTCACCGCCGTTCCCTCTGGGTGGCAGTTTCTTTAAACTACCCTCTAACTCTATGAGGGAAAGTATTGCCTACCTGGCTTGGGTTGGCCGCTACCAGATGGATAGATTTTCTGTGCCTGCCTCTTCACAATGAGATTTGTGAACTACTTGGGGGCAGGGACTGTTCTCAGACCCACTTCTCATCTCTGTACCTGGCCCATAATGAGTACTCAATAGATGTTGGTGGAATGAAACTGCTTTGTAAATCCTACAAGTTTTAGGTTTGAAGCTCTGATTTCTTGCTTCAGAGCATAGACATTTTAAATTATGACGTTCTGGTGTGAAGAACAGCATCTGGCCCTGGCCATCAGGCACGCCACTGACAAACCTCCACGTTGGAAGAAACGCCCATGGAAGGAGGCCAGGCCGAGCTCCCACAGGGAAGCAATCTCAGAGTCTGGGTGTTGGACTAGAGGGGAACCCAGAGATCATCCAGCACTGCCCCTTCAAATCCTCTAATTTACCTTGAAAGAAAAGAATTTCTGTGATTTTCAGATATACTTTTTTTCCCCGAAGATACTCTGGAAAAAATAAAACCTTGAATATAACCTGGAGCTTTTTGTACCCTACGACTGAAAAATGACTCAGAGAAAGACCCCGGCTGGAGAGTTCCTTCTTTCTCACACTCTTTGTGGTACACGTATGGCTTCATTGCCTCCCTTACTTCAGGGAATGAAAAGAGAGATGGGATCTCTGTGCATGTGTCATCAGGTCCTTAGGGGACCAGTAGATTCCTTCCTTTAGCTTCTCTGCAGATAAAACCAATCCTTAGAGACCCGAAGCAGAGCTCTTTGGAGAAAGCAGCAGGGGCTCCTTCCTGGAAGTGCCCCATGGGATCCTCCCTGGAAAGAACCCAGAGTGCAAAGGCTGCGAGCCGTGCCCCTCCCGGGGCAGGCTGGGAGGCCTCAAGCTGAGTGCTGATTTGCTGCTGACACCAGCAGCGGCTTCTGCTGCTTACTTTGAGGCCTTCTGGAAATTTGCTTGGAAATACTTCTGTAAAGCTCTCCCTCCCAGGGGCAGAAGGAAGGCTCTCACTGTGGAGTGTTATGTGCTGAGATGTTACAGGTGAGACACTCAGCATCAGACCACAGCAGCTCAGGCTTGACAAAAGGACCAACATATCATCAAAGTCAACTTCACAGGAAAAGATTCAGAGGGCCCTCCCATCCCATGATATTTTGCTCTAGAAAGAGCAGGTCACGAATGACAGAGCAGGGGTTGGGTGCATCAGCCCTAGGGGTTTTGAACTCATCCAAAAAGGGTAACTTCTTCCAGGCCATTTCATTCTGCCTCTACTTCCCCATACCATTCCTGCCCCACCTGCAACTGCCAAATAGCGGCTCCATCAATGACCTGGTTCCTGGGATGCCCTGGACCGGGAGATTGTTTCAGAGTTGGGTGGTCAGGGAGCCATGATGGGCCCAGAAAGACAGTAGAGAGCCAGGACTAGCCAGCAGAGTGGGGCTGACTTCCTGGGAGAGTAGAGGCTGGCAGGGCCTCTGGGGAGGGGTGGTGATGTTGGCATTAGAGCAAATCACGCCAGTGGATCAGCTCTGGGAAGGGTGAATGAGGCCTTGTTTGTGCGCCTGAAATATCAAAGCCAAGGATGGAGAAGTTCTTTTTGATTCCATCACCCTTAAGGCAGAAAGGGACCACTGATAAGCCACAAGCAATCTTCACACATCTCCTGTGGTTTGTCTGTGTCCCCGCCCACATCTCATCTTGAATTGTAATCCCCATAATCACCATGTGTTGTGGGAGGGATCCGGCGGGAGGTAATTGAATGAAGGGGGCTGCTTCCCCCATACTGTTCTTGTGATGGTGAGTGAGTTCTCACAAGATCTGATGGTTTTATAAGCATCTGGCATTTCCCCTGCTGGTACTCGTTCTCTCTCCTGCTGTCCTGTGAAGAGGTCCTTCTGCCATGATTGTTAAGTTTCTTGTGGCCGCCCCCCCGCCACAGCCATGCGGAACTGTGAGTCAATTAAACCTCTTTTCTTTATAAATTACCCAGTCTCAGGTATTCCTTCTTAGCAGCGTGAGAAGGGAGTAATATACCATCTCTCTGCTAGAACATGTCTGGAAGGGAGATAAAGATATTTATGTGTTCAGTTTTACAATTATATTGTTTGTGCACACACACACACACACATACATATACCTAGGATAAGGTTCTCGTACTTTTCAAAATTTAAAATGGTACCTATTCCATAGACTATGCTTAGAAAACAAGTGCTTGATTTACTAAACTAAGCCCAGGGAAGGTTTTAACAATTGATAGTGGTAAGTAAGTGCCCTTGTCCCTTACTAATTCTAAATTTTACCTACTTGTCTGACAAGCAGTTTGAATTGTCTGAAGGCCCTTTGTGAATTCCCAAAACTGGGCATGTGTTTGGTTGTTTGTGGTTGACAGTGTGAGGAGTAAAAAAGGTTTCCCTAGAGCGTCTGTGGGGTTTCTTTCAATATGACATGTAGAAGAATGTAGCATTTAGATGTGAGAAATTACTCAAAACAGACTCCATTCATAACTAAAATGCTTGTTGTGCCCTGGGTTGCGCGCGCGCGCGCACACACACACACACACACACACACACACACACACGTGTTTTGAAAGAAGAGTGGGAAGGAAGCAGAAAATTAAGAATAGCCTTTAAGAAGACACAGGTGGCTCCAGGCGGGAAGTGCTGCTGCTGTGATGCCCCCGGAAATGCTGTCCTGCCAACACTGAGGGTCTTTTGGGCCAGTGGGCCTCATGGGGTCCTCTGCCTGGCAGGGGGAAGGTGGGCAAAGGCTGGTGCCCAGGTCTGTGCAGGCTACTGTGCTTGTTTTGGGGAGAGGGGCCGTGCCAGCTCCACCCGGGAGCAGGATCCACCCTTCTGTTTCTTTGCCACGTGCAGGCTTCTCCCTGCCCATTCTCTTCTCAGCAGAGCTGCCACATGGATCCTGGGCTCATCCTCCATTAGCCCTTCAATCTTGTAAATGACAAGGAAAAGAGAATAGGTGGGTGGAAATGAGATTCAGAGAGGACAGCTATGGAGAGGGATGTGGCCTCAGCCCTGTGCACACCTAGCCTGTCCTCCCTGAGGCTCTGCTGGGAGCAAAACCTCCCTACACAGCAGAGCAGCCAGACTCCTGGAAGTCTCCACAGAGCGTGGTTGCAGGTGCAGAGGGGCCCCTCAAATCAGTTCAAATTCTATATATTTTAAAACAAGGCAGAGAACATTGTCACACTGCAGCAGCATCACAGCTGAGTCCAGTTCATTTTGGTCTCCCATCCAAGTACTAACCAGGCCCAACCCTGCTTAGCTTCTGAGATCAGATGAGAGATCACCATGAACCCTCTTAGAGGGATCCCACAAGAAGTTCCTGGGTTGAGAGGATCTATGACCTAGAAGCTTGATGCATGCATGATTCATGGAATCTTCATTTCCTTGGGATAGTGTTGCTTCTAGTGGGTGCAGGCTGGAGGAAGAGAGTTGAGTGTTAAGAGGGAAAGAAGTGCAGCTGGCTGGATTTAGGTGAGGCTGTCAGAAGCTCAGAGGAGAGGGACAGTGATATGCCTCACACTGGGCTGCGTGAGGCCAGGGGCAGGGGAACCACTGGAGAGCTTGTCATGGCGGAAGTTGGAGCCGGGCTTTCCTGAGACGCTCTGGCAGGTGACAGGGTTGGAGGCATTTTGAGGGGGGGGGTGTGTGAGTAGACTGGTAAGTGGGAGCCAGCGGGGGGGACCCAGGGGTAGGAGCAGCTTGTTCACAAGCTGACATGTCTGTACTTCTTGGATTCTCTTTTCCAAACCATTGGTAATCCCCTCTCCTCCCTTTCGAACCCATTTTGATATGGCTTGAATAGTGTTCTCACGTTCTGTTCTGTAGTCTGGAGTGGCTAGAGCATCAGTTCTGTGATACATCTGACAATTCTGCCTTCTAGATACATTTCACCATCATTTTTTCAAGTTCTATAATGTACATGTGCATTAATCAGTATTGCATATCCAAATACTCCTTGGGTGACTTTATATCATTATCATTTACTTCATGACCTCTCCAATTATTCTTTTATTTTTCCTTCTATGATTTTGATAATTTCCGTGCTTTAAGTAAATCACTTCAGTCTGAAGATTGGTAAATTATCTAGTATTTAATAGCCTTAGTTGCAAACTCAGGGTGGAACCCTTTTGATATATTATCCAACTACTTCATAAGCATACAGGCATGGATTTTGGGGGGCTAATTTATCTGACTTTCATTTTCTTATCAAATAGTGGTTCCAAACATTGTTATTTAGAGAGAAGCATGTTGTGAGACAAGCTAGAAAGTGGTTTCTAGTCTCTATTCTGTCTCTCCCTTTTGACAAGCCATGTAACCATTGTAAGCCTTAGCTCTTCTACAAAAGGAGGTAATATTCATCTCTTTTACATCCATATGTAGATTTGGTTAGGAGAATTGTGCACACATACACATACATACACAACAAAACTGTGTTAATGTCTGTCATTGGTGCAACCACAATTTAACCTTTAGTAAGTTTCTGTGCCTGAGATGCCTGATATTTTTTTCTGTATAATTAATTCAGAGGGAAAGAGTGCAGATTCTTCAACAGTGCTGGATTATAGCACATGATCCCCTAAGTGCATGGTCCTGCCTATGAATTCACATATGCTCGTCTTTTTCTCCTGTATTTGGCCCCTGCTTTGGCCTTGCCATTGGCTACTTGTGCCTTTGCCTTCAGCATCAAGACCAGAACAATTCAACATCAACTTCAAAAATAAATACTGGACGTGACCTCCAAGAGCATGCACGGTTTGGCTCATGCCTGCCCATTGGCCTGTTGGCTGTTGGCATCTCGAATATGCCACACTCCTTCCTTCTCAGCACTGAGGCATTGCTCATGCAGTTCCTTCTACCTAGAATGCCTTTGCCCTTACTCCTCATCCTCCCCATTTTCAACTAGGTAATTACTCTTGTATGTCTTTCAGATTTCAGCTCCATTGTTCATAGAGGAGCCCTAAACTAGATCAGGGCTTTAAGCTCTCACAGTGTATGCACTGTCTCTTTATAACGCCTGTCACAGATAAGTATTCTAGGATTATCTGCACTTCTCATCGGGCATGAACTGTCCTTCTTCTTGCTGCTATATTCCTAACATCCAGCTCACAGGTGTTCAATAAGTATTTGTTGAATGAATGAGTGAATGAGTGCGTTTAGTTTTTGAAACTTGTTCTAGTGTGTGCACCAAGACTTTTTGTTGTCGTAATACCCAATGAACACACAGAGACAGCCATGACTCCTGCCCCTTGAGCCAACGAGCCTGTTTACTCGGTGGCGGGGAAGGTGGCTGGGCTGCTCTTCTCCAGGCTGGATGCCCCCCAAAAGACCCATAGTGTGATTAGTTTGCCTTCTGGTTCCTTGGTCCCTTTGGGTTCTTAGCCCCTTGGGTGCCCCAGGCCTTCATCTTTTCTTTCATATCTTTAGCAGGCCTCTGTGCCCCACATCACTTTTCTTCTCTTTCCCCAGCAGTCTTGCCTGGCCCTGTCTCCCTCTCCAAGCCCCTCTTTCCAGTGTATCTGTACCCGTCTCTGGACTGTGAATCCTGCCCTGCCCTGAACCTTTCCTTAACTGTTGGCTTCAACTGCCATCAGAATGTTCCACCCTCAAAATTCTCAGGGGTTGGTGCCCTGGTTCTTTGGCTGGGTGGACTACAAGGCCCCGAGGACTGGGTCCAGCCTTTACTTCTGAGTGGTCTCAGCCTTCAGCACCCAGTAACCACACAGCAGTGCATGGCGACTTGATTTTCCCGCCTAAATCTTAACCAAGTTTCCAAGGCCATCGTGGTCACTTGTGTGACCCCTCTGCTGCAGCTTCACAATTTCACCACACTCATCTGCTTTGGTTGAGGAGAAACTTCTGTGGATACATTGGCAGGCCTAGCTGGGGAAAGTTGGGGACCACAGGACTTCCTGCTACCTTACTTGGCTCAACCCCCTAGGACACTCCTGACCTGAAGCGGCAGCTGTCCCCTGTCACCCCTAACATTGCATACCCCAAAGTAGCTCACACTCCAAGGCTGCAAATGCTTGTGTTCTTCCACTCTCAGGGCTGGGGCTAGGCCATGGAGGAGGAGGAAAGGCCATTCTAGTGGCTCAAAGAGCCAGTGCAAAAGCATTGCTTATGGTGGCTTCTTCAGGGGTTGCAGATGTGTATAGCTCTAAGAAATATAAACTCATGCCCCCCAACAATGCCTCATGCTTAACCAGCTCTCTTTCTGGCCTCATGTGTCTACTGGGAAAATTGAGGCCTCCTCTCTGATTTGATTGTGTCTTACTTACAGGTGTTTAGTACCTGGGAGTGAGAGGCCCATCTAATCAGAGCTGGCCTTGGGCTCTGCAGCTTACCCTGGTCACTCTTGGTACTCCTGGAACAAGGAATACTTTATACTTTTCTCATTCATTTATTCATTCAGTCATCCAGTCATTCATTTAACAGTTGTTGAACACCTATGTGCCAGGCATTAGCTATGTACTGGGGATACAAAAAGTGTTAGGCAAACAGAAACAGACATTCACCCTCAGAGAGCTTCTGCCCTGACAAACTTTGTATATGAAGAGAGTAAGTTTTGTAGAGCAGTTGGCTGGAGTGAGGTGTGTGAGATAATAGTGCAAGCTGAGGCCAGGAAAGGAGGCCGAGATGCTATGAGAACTTGCTATAAGAACTTGCAGACCAGGTTCAAAATTTCAGCTTTTATCCTAGAAGCCTTGGGAAGCCTTTGAATGAAGGGTCTTAAGCAGAGGAGATAAATGATCACATTTTTTTTTTCCTTTTAAGTGAGGACACCTGCGCCGTGTGGCACACAACTTAGAAGAAGGCAAAAGTGGAGATTGGTCAGAAGGCCCACTGGGAAAGGGAGAGCCTTGGAGGGGTGAAAGGATTTGACATGTAACCCAGTTGAGGAAAACTGACAGGCTGTGAGGTCAGGGATCTCTGCTCATTGTGAAAGCAAACACAGAGGGAGATAATTGTAACTTGAATTTGAGGCAGGTTGAGGTGGCTTTGTAAGAGGCAGGCAAGGCTAGGACAAGTGACAGGAGTGAGGGACTGGAGCTCCGGAAAGGTAGTGCCTGGTCAGGGCTGCAGGATGGCCGTTCCCGAAGCAGGAGGGCTCCAAGGGAGTCTCCAAAGCCTGCTCATCCTGGTCTTTTCAGAGCTGCTCTGAGCATCCAAGAGGTCCAGAGAAAAGGTGCCGTGGAGACACACACAGGCTGACAGAAGCTGGGAAGGGTCAGCGTGGACCACAAGTGAAGACGACCTTAGCAGATGGAGGCAGTCTGTCAGATCCCCTCCACCACCCCCTGGGCCAGTGTGCCGCAGCTGGGGGCAGGCCAGCCCCTCTATCACTTACTATGGCTGCCGTTTTGTGCCTGGCCATCCATCATAGACAACCTTCAACTGGAATCTCTCCTAATGAAGCCCTACCACACAGAGGCAGTCAGCCCTGCAACGGTGTAGGCTCGAGGCCATGGCCGCAGCAGGAGGCAGTGGCAGTAGAGGGTGGCAGTTAGGGGGCAGGAATCACTGGACTCTCAGAACCCCATTGGGGTGTGGCTTCCTCAAGCCCTCCAAGGCAAGACATACACTGGGACAAATAAATAAGTTTTCAGGGCCAGGTGCGGTGGCTCACGCATGTAATCGCAGCCACTGTGGGAGGCCTAGGCGGGAGGATCATCTGAGGTCAGGAGTTTGAGACCAGCCTGGCCAACATGGTAAAACCCCGTCCTTACTAAAAAAATACAGAAACTAGCTGGGCGTGGTGGTGGTTGTGGTGCTAGTAGCTGTAATCCCAGCTACTTGGGAGGCTGAGGCAGGAGAAACACTTGAACCTGGGAGGCAGAGGTTGCAATGAGCCAAGATTGCTCCATTGCACTCCAGCCTGGGCAACAAGAGTGAAACTCCATCTCAAAGAAAACAAAAGAAAAGAAATAGGTTTTCAGCAGGAGACAGCAGGCACATCGATGGCACCAGAGGAAGATGCCGTGACCTTGAAGGATCATTGTTGGAGTGGTTATCCCAAGGATGGGGCCAGTGCTGCACCTCCTGCCCTCAATTTCTCCATTTATAAAATGGAGATAATACAGTCATCCCTACCTCACAGAGTTGTCATGAGGGTTTTATATATTAGTTGATATATTTAATAACTAGAGCAGCCAGACACATCCCAAATGCTAGTCAGTATTATCATGATTTCATCAGGCATTGCCCATTTACATGAAATGCTTGGACTCTGGTGGCATAAACCCTGTTATTATTGATGTGATTCCATCTGCTCAAAAAGTGCACATTTCAGGTTAAAGATTGAATGGTAATGATAAGATTCAGTTTTAGGATTACATAGTAGGACAGTTTGGAGAAATCGTTTCCCAACATGCTTATTAAAGTGGAAAGGATAGGGAATTCAGAATCAGAAGGCCATGGATATTTATTGGAGTATCCTTCATATTCTGGAGCCAGTGCTAGGGGCCAGAAATTCAATGGCCAGCATGATAGAGATGGCACCCGCACTGATGGAGCTGCTGACTCTGCTGGGGAGACAGACAAAAAGAGTTAAAAATGATTACAAATTATGATTAATGCTAGGAAGGAAAAAAATCCAATAGGAATAACAGGATATGAGTTTCCTACTTTGGGTCATGAAAATTTTCTCACTTATGGTGACACGAAGCTGAGTGTTGCTACTCAAAGGCAGGAGTTGAGGTATTTGGGAGGTAGAGGGGAGAGTTCTGAGCAGCAAATGGTTTTCTTGCCCAGTTAGGTGATCTTAGGCTCCGTGATCTACATTAGTCTCAGTTTCTACATTTGTAAAATGGGGATAATCTTATCTACCCAGATGACCACGCAGAGCTGGTATGAGGGTGAAGTGAAGCGATATGAATTTTGTTAACCATAGATGAGTGCCCTAACCCTAAGTCCTAATGAGGACTTCCAAACGAGGAAAGAATTCACTGATATTCTTCTCGCATTTTTTTCTATCCTCCAAATTTTGTTCACATGTATAACATGACTGTCACACAGTGGCTGAAGGTCGTGTTGAGAAGAAATGACCCTTGTAAACCAAGAGTATTTGAGACAGAACTCAGTCAATTTAGAAAGTCTGTTTTGCCAAGGTTAAGAATGCGCCCATGAGGCAGCCTTAGGAGGTCCTGGAGACACGTGCTCATGGTGGTCAGTACAGTTTGGTTTTATACATTTTAGGGGAACATGAGACATCAATCAATATATGTAAGATGTACATTGGTTTGGTCCAGAAGCACCCTGGAGTTGAGAATAGCAGTGCTAATGCGATGAGGTTACTGAAGGGAGACAAAGATGATTCCCTGGATGACAGATGTCTGAGCTGAGTCTTAGAAGATGAGAAGGAGATTACAGGTTTTTGTAAAGCTGAAAAGCCAGAGAAAATTTTAATGTGGAGTACGTGGTGCATAGTTAAATGTTCAGTAGATACCTTCCCCTTCTAAAACTTGTTCTGGAAGAAGGTCATAGTTAACGTTACTTAATGTTCACCAATCTCCCATGAAGTTCTGGAAACAGAGAGGAAGACATGCTTTTCCCTGGGTGCTCAGGAATGGGACTTCCATCCATTAGCTCATCCACACATGCGTGATGAACTGAAGGACACTCCAAAGATAGGAAGCATCTAAGGGAAGGACTGCCCGGTGATCTTTTTGCTGTAAAGGAATATGTGGGGTTAGGATTAAGACTCGGCAGGTTTGCAAAAACATCTCATTTCACACATGTGAGGAAACAAGACAAGTGATAACATGAATGAATTTAGGAACTGCCCTCCTCCGGGAAGAAGACCAGTCCTCCCGGGCTGGACAGTGGAGCATCAGCCACGGCTATGCTTCTTCTGTTTGATGTGGCCCTCATGGACAGTGCCATGCTGCTGATTACATCACAAGTTCACTGCAAACCCAGGTGACCATCTGGCCTGTGCCTACAGCTTCTGAATGGGGCTCTCTGTGTGAGTGTTACTGTATTGGTGATTTTGAGAATATTGAGGGAGAAAGAGACATCACTTGGTTGGTGAAGAAGTTGCCCAGAGCTGGACGTAGCCAGGTCAAGTTCTGATAAAGACACTTTCTCAGCGCTTCACCCTGAAAGACTGAAGCGCTGAAGCAAGCACTTTCACAGGGCACCTCTCAGGCAGCCTTCAGGTGAGAGGGAGAGAGAAGGACCCTTCTGAAGGGAACGAGGAGGGCAGAGAGCTAGGGAGGGAAGGTCAGAAGGAGAAGGGCCTGACCTTGAGATGCCATGGGCTTTAGGCTTTCTGTGCCTGTTTGAGGCTATTTCCCTGCTGAGTCTGAGTCCCATGTTCAAGGTCACTTTCATGGAGTCTATGGAAAACACCTCCCCAAGCTAAGTGACCTCTCAAAATTTTGGCTTTGAAGTTGTAAGAGTTAATCTGCGTGAATGCCCCAGTGTAGGTGAAGAGGAGAGTCAAAGGAAGACAGCTGGAAAAGAAAGGTGTAGGAGGGGCAAGAGAAACCAGTGGCTCTGAACAGAGAAGGGGGGTTGTATCAAGACAGGTCAAGGGTCCTGTGGGGCAGATTCCTAAGGTCATGAGGAAGGAAGACATTGACTTGCGCTGGCAATGACAATCACAAGGAAGTTCAGGGATCATGCAGAGGTGAGGGGTGTGGGAAGTCAGGAGACTGCTTGGGCTTGTCAGGGGGCAGGCATAGGGATGGTAGTGGGTCCAGACACGAAGGGTTGGCACTTTCTCCTTTTTCACGGCTCTCTTTTCCCACTAACAGCCTCAGCTCGTGGCACAGTTCTGGACTCAGCAGGGAATGCTGTTCATGGAGAGTGGTAATGCAGGGACCCCCACATCTTGTGGAAGGAAGACCTCACATTGCAAAGCAGTCAGTTCTCCCCAAATGAACAGATACATTTAACACAATTTCCATCAAAATAGTGTGAGGTTTTTTTTTTTTTTCTTTTGGAACTTGTAGTGGTATTTCTACTATTTATTTTGAAGAATATATTTTGGATGAACAAGTGAAACTAGCCCAGAGAAAAGGAACAATAAATAAAATAAATGGGCAAAAGCTTGTGCTGTTAGCTTTAAAGTGTATTTAAAATAAATCTGAAATCATTTAAACAGCATGAACCTTGGTGGCCAAATAGATCAATGACAAAGAGGAGAAAACCTAGATACAGGTTCATTTTTGCCTTATATGCTTTGAGATTAGTGTTTCTATTTAGAGCTGTGACTAATACAGATGCATCACGGCTGAGAGCAAAGCGAGGTGAATGTCCCTATTAATTGCCACCATGGTGCGAGGCTGGAATGAGGGTGTGGCCAGCTAAGAGGGGATTTGCTCTTCTTGCCCTAGAAGTTCCTCATTGTTTCCTGTCCTGTCTTGTGTCCAGCTGCTTAGCACACTTCCTTTTGGTATTTAATGCTTTTTATAGCTGGAACCCTGAGGTTCCTCAGAAATCTGCACATGCTTACTAGATGGTGCTCTGGATTTTCTTTAAAGATAGGAAGAAAAAGGCAAAGGCAGGTCTGTGACGCTTCTTACCTCGAGCAGAGCTGGTGGAGTGAATGCCATGGCTCCAGCTGCACCCCCAGCTGATGAAAATGGCCTTCCATTTGCTGAGATTCTTCCCTTTTCTCCCCCAACCCCCATCATCAATATGGGCACTCCGTAGACTGCAAATGTGAGCTTTCATCCTTAAGTATATTGAGGCGTGACTTTTCCTAATAAAGGTGGCATTCCAAATCAGTGTAAAGCATTCAGTAATTGATACAGAAATCACCTAGTCATTTTTCCCCCCAGAGTCTGCTTGGGGGCAGGCCAGGTAGTGTTCTGGATTCAAAAATTCACCATGTGAACAACAGAAAATGAAGTTTTTTTGTTCCCAGGGAACAGGGAGCTCTTAGTGAAGAAGAAACACAGTAAGTGATGAGTCAACCAATTAACAGCTTGACAGGAAACTGGTGAGATGAAGAAAAATGAATCCAGCTAGGACAATAGACACGGATGGAGGTGGGTGGTAGTCAAGGAAGACTCCTTGGATAAGCTGGTGTTTGGGCAGAGGCCTGAAGAAGTGTAAGCCATGCTATGGGGGTATCTGGGTAAGAACGTTCCAGGAAGTGGTGGGTACAGCAAGTGCAGAGATGCACCTTGTGGATTGACTCCTTGAAGTGAATCCTTTTTAATACCTCCTTCTTTACATGGCAAGATTATTGTTAGTGATCATGCAATCAATTACCATCTTCATTTATTCTTTTTTTAATGAGTATAAACTTGCCATTTTTAATTAAAGTTACTTACAATTGAATTAGCTAAAAAGTCTAGTGCATTTGAAACAAAATTGTTTATAAGCTAGCTATGTTTACAGAATGAAAAGTAAAATTAAAGATAAAGACATTAATATTCTAAATTAGCACTTTCCAAACTGTGTTCTAAAAACCAACACTCATAACACAAGGAGATGAGAATAATGTACACTGGACAGCCCCTGTGGGGCTGGTGGTGGTGTTGGTTGTTGTTCCTTTTAAAATAAGCTTCATCCCAGGGTGCTCTCAAGGCGCATCTTTGTGGCCCATGAGGTGCTCCTGCACAATGGGAAAAAATCAAATGCAGATACACTGTGGTGCCAGAAGAGAAAAAGCTGTTCCTTCTTCCAAGGCTAATGTCCAAAGTAGTACATATTGATTTAGGTCTGGAACGCAGTGAAAAACTAATTTTTCGTAAAAAACATTAAATAAAAGGAACCTATCCTTCTCACTGTGTTCAACATTGTCTTAAGGTATAAAGGCATCAAATAGCTACACTTTTTCTGGGATTGCTTATTTGCTAACTGATTTTTCCTTCCACCACGACGTCTAAGATTAAATGAGAAATTGATACTTAATATTTAGAATCTGGATATCAATATGTAGTTGACTCCAATTTCTTTTTCTTTTTTCTTTTTCTTTTTCTTTTTTTTTTTTTTTTTTTTTGAGACGGAGCCTAGCTCTGTCGCCCAGGCTGGAGTGCAGAGGCACGATCTTGGCTCACGGCAAGCTCCGCCTCCCGGGTTCACGCCATTCTCCTGCCTCAGCCTCTGGAATAGCTGGGACTACAGGCGCCCGCCACCACGCCCGGCTAATTTTTTTTGTATTCTTAGTAGAGATGGGGTTTCACTGTGTTAGCCAGGATGGTCTTGATCTCCTGACCTCGTGATCCGCCGCATCGGCCTCCCAAAGTGCTGGGATTACAGGCATGAGCCACCGCGCCTGGCCCCAATTTCTTAAACTGATTGCTGAAGAGGGCAACCAAATGGCTGAAATAATTTTAGAATAAAGGAGTGTCTCCCTTGGTAGTATAGTTGTACTCAAAATTTTATTGTAAGATGAGTCTGGCCGGCCGTGCTGTCATTAAGGAGCATGAACGTTGTTGCTGAATAAAATGCTCAGTAGATACCTCTGGGTTGTCAGAGGGGCTGGACTCTAATACTGTATCTCCAGGCCTCTGCAGGTTAGGGATGTGGTGCATGTGTAGGTCTTCTCCAACTTCAAATTTATCTGTCCTTCAGCTGCTGCCTCACAGATCCCAGGAGGGAACACCATCCCCTGTTGCTGGTCCAACTTGGGGCTGGCCATGATAAATTCATTGGGCTGGCAGACAGTGGTAGCGACTCCTCCCAGGGCAATCCAGGGGTTTAGTATGGTTTGGCCACCCATTACAGATGTTCCTGCTTCCTCAGCTGCGTCTTTAAAACCCTGGATAATCAGAGACATCATTTTATCCCTTTCCCTGTCGGTCATTTTAGGACTGACTCCAAGGAGCATCAGCATATTGTCACATTCCGTGACCCACATTGCGTAGAGGTCACTGAAGACACTGGCACGTGCTATCCTGCCCATCATGGAAGGGTCGTCTACGATCCGGTAAACGTAATCTGTAGTTTGAACCAAGGAAAGCCCACCGTGCCTCAAAGGAATGACACGAGTATCCATTCCAATGCCAAGCCTTGGCGTAACGGCTCCCAGAAACTGCTCATCTTCTTGGAAGTGGTTCTCCTATAAAGATTACAGCAATTTTTGCAGGACATCTTGGGGCACTTTGCAGCCTGTGCCCTTCAGTTCAGTGAATCTGGTTAGCCGGAAGCTCTTGTCCAATTCGTAACTTTCGGGGTTAAAGGACTCACGCGTAGACATGGTTCTTGGGTCCGCTCTCCTCACAGCTTGCCCCCTCCCCACCCTCTGCGGGTTGGCTGGGTTCTTTTTTTTTTTTTTTTTTTAATTTATTTTTTTTATTATACTTTAAGTTTTAGGGTACATGCGCACATTGTGCGGGTTAGTTACATACGTATACATGTGCCGTGCTGGTGTGCTGCACCCACTAACTCCTCATCTAGCATTAGGTATATCTCCCAATGCTATCCCTCCCCCCTCCCCCCACCCCACAACAGTCCCCAGAGTGTGATGTTCCCCTTCCTGTGTCCATGTGATCTCATTGTTCAATTCCCACCTATGAGTGAGAATATGCGGTGTTTGGTTTTTTGTTCTTGAGATAGTTTACTGAGAATGATGATTTCCAATTTCATCCATGTCCCTACAAAGGACATGAACTCATCATTTTTTATGGCTGCATAGTATTCCACAGTGTATAAGTGCCACATTTTCTTAATCCAGTCTATCACTGTTGGACATTTGGGTTGGTTCCAAGTCTTTGCTATTGTGAATAATGCCGCAATAAACATACGTGTGCATGTATCTTTATAGCAGCATGATTTATAGTCCTTTGGGTATATACCCAGTAATGGGATGGCTGGGTCAAATGGTATTTCTACTTCTAGATCCCTGAGGAATCACCACACTGACTTCCACAATGGTTGAACTAGTTTACAGTCCCACCAACGGTGTAAAAGTGTTCCTATTTCTCCACATCCTCTCCAGCACCTGTTGTTTCCTGACTTTTTAATGATTGCCATTCTAACTGGTGTGAGATGGTATCTCATTGTGGTTTTGATTTGCATTTCTCTGATGGCCAGTGATGGTGAGCATTTTTTCATGTGTTTTTTGGCTGCATAAATGTCTTCTTTTGAGAAGTGTCTGTTCATGTCCTTCGCCCACTTTTTGATGGGGTTGTTTGTTTTTTTCTTGTAAATTTGTTTGAGTTCATTGTAGATTCTGGATACAGAATCTTTGTCAGATGAGTAGGTTGCAAAAATTTTCTCCCATTTTGTAGGTTGCCTGTTCACTCTGATGGTAGTTTCTTTTGCTGTGCAGAAGCTCTTTAGTTTAATTAGATCCCATTTGTCAATTTTGTCTTTTGTTGCCATTGCTTTTGGTGTTTTAGACATGAAGTCCTTGCCCATGCCTATGTCCTGAATGGTAATGCCTAGGTTTTCTTCTAGGGTTTTTATGGTTTTAGGTCTAACGTTTAAGTCTTTAATCCATCTTGAATTGATTTTTGTATAAGGTGTAAGGAAGGCGTTGGCTGGGTTCTTTAGGGATTCACCCGCTTGCTTTGCGCCCTCCGCCTCCTCCCGGAAAATGGGCCGTGAACGGCTCCCACAATGCACCGGGCGCTGCCGGCTTCCCTTAAGCATTGCCTGAATAAAAACGCCGCGGCCCGCAGTAGCGGCCACAGCGAGGACGCGGGCTCACACCTGGGCGCTGCTGGGGCTCGTTTGGCTCGGCGCGACCCTGCGGAGCCGGGACTCTGCGCTCCCGTCAGCTGGGCCGGGGGCTGGTTTATTCTTTAGTTTTAAGACAATTTAAAGTATATACATTTCAATTTAAAAGATAATATTCAACTTAAGGAAAATATTGAATACACTTCTTAAGTATGTTTTTCTTTTAAAAAACATAGCTGCAGCTTAAAGAAATATATTGTGTTCACTTTTTAAATTTTAAACACAAAGTGGTAAGATAGAACAATAAAATCGAAGTGGCTTAGCTCAGGCTGCTATAAACAGAAACATCATAGACTGGGTGGCTTAAGCAACAGGAATTTATTTCTTACCGTTCTGGAGGCTGGGAAGTCCAAGATCACATGGTGGAGAGAGAGAGATCATCTCTGTCATGTCTGTTGTTATAAAGGTGCTAATCTTATCCATGAGACCTCCACCCTCATGACCTAATCACTTCCCAAAGGCCCCCTCCTGATACCATCGCTTTGGGGATTAGGGCTCCAAATTTTGGGGGGATACGTTCAGTTCATAACATGAAATAACTCAAATTCTGGTTTTTTGACTTTAGAAGTCAAAGAATCATTGTGCTATCATTCTATATTTTGAGTCTACTGTTTAAATTCAGTTAAACTTAAGGATATGTGGCGCTACAAGGATTGGAGACATGAACTGCACCCAAAGCAAGCTGAAGTGATTCGGAACCACTGTGAACTGAACCCTCAAAATACGTATAGATGAGTGAATATTTACATAGGCCTAAATGTGCGTGTGTGTGTGTGTGTGCACGCGCATGTGCCTGTCTTCCTGCAACCCCCCAGCCCCAGAAACATTCTTAGGCTCAGCATTTGCCAGCATACAGAGTATTAGATTTTCCTTGATTGTTTTGATAGCTGAAAAGTCACATTGTCAGGTAGCCCCAGCTCACTTCCTAGTTTGTAGGTTCTTTGATGCTGCTGTGAGATGTTCTCTCAGACATGTATTTCTGTTGCTCTGATTAGATGAATGAAAAACTACAGTCTTCATCATAAATTGCTACCTGAGTTTTCTGTAGTTTTGCGCCTCCCATGGAATGTTACTGCTAGGGAATCTATTGCCATGTCACATTCTGCAGCCACCCATTTACCCTGGACCCTTGTTTACTGGATGCTTCAGTCCTCAAATGAAGGTAGCAAGACGAACAGGGTTATGGGTTGCTACCATTGTGGCCACTTCAAGGGCATCAGCTACACAGTAGACAGGCGGCTGTCCGGTGCCCAGTGCTGTGTTTGGATGGATCCCAACCTTGATTAGGTAAGGCTGTAAAGGGTTAGGGAGGAAGCCTCTTCCTACTTTTGTTAAAGAAGGCAAAGCAACTTTATTTCATATAGTCAAAAACAATGCAACAGCTCTTTTTTTTTTTTTTTTTTTTTTTGAGATGCAGTGTTGCTTTGTCGCCCAGGCTGGAGTGCAGTGGCATGATCTTGGCTCACTATAGCCACCACTCCCGGGTTCAAGCAATTCTCCCTGCCTCAGCCTCCCGAGTAGCTGGGATTACAGGCGCCCACCACCATGCCCAGCTAATTTTTTGTAATTTTTTTTGGTAAAGACAGGGTTTCACCATGTTGGCCAGGCTGGTCTTGAACTCCTGACCTCAGGTGATCCGCCTGCCTCAGCCTCCCAAAGTGCTGGGATTACAGGCATTAGCCACTGTGACCAGCCAGCTCTGTTCTTTTTTCACGAATTTAACCTTCTAAGTAGAAGTAGGAACCTTCTAAGTAGGAAGACATTTCTAAATGCCACCCAATTTACCGACAGATTGGTTGTCAGTCATAGTCTGTATGTGTCTGTTTCCAACTTTACCTGTTTTGTAATTTACTAGAAAAATAGCAGAGTATAACTTTGCCATTTTAAACAGAAGGTCGGGGTCCTAATGAAAGCGTTTTCTTGGTTCAGGATTTCTGTGGGTATTTCTGCCAGGGAGAGGCTAGAAGCAGGAGAGGGTGAGAGGGACTTTATAATCTCTATATAGCTTTGCAGTTGTTAAGATGGCACCCAGGAATGTGCTCACCCAGCTTGCTCCCAGGAGGTAGTATGACTTCAACCCAGTGAACCGGTCCTTTTTATGGAGTGGCCTTCCCAAGGATGTGATGACGTTGGTGACCGTACGAATGGCAATCTGTATCTAAGACAGCTATGACTGCTCTATTCTATAATGAATGTTGTTGGCTTTTAAATGAAGCCTTTATAAATAAAGGGTCTGTTTACTTAAAAGTTAAAGGCATGATTTAGGATGAGCCAACTAGACTGACAGAATTTACCTCAACCTGTAGGTGGATTCTCGAGTTAGCCGGAGTGTGTATCTGGGGAAAGCAGCCTAGAGTTTCATGGGTCTCTGACCACAGGGTATGAAGAAAACCCAGGCTATTTAAAACATGTGTTTGCTTCTAGAAAATAAAACAGTATTTGTAGATGTTTTGAAAACATTCCCAAGGATGACAGAGGAGGAGACTTTGGTAGTCAACAGAGGCAACCCTCTTCCAGGGTCGTTGACGGAGCTGCAGTGTAGTCGGCCTCAGCTGAGGAGCTTCACTCCCTCCCTGCCGGAACCAGCCGCCACAACTGGCTTCTCCGTCAGCCTTAGGAAAAGCAGTCTTGTTGAGTTCTCTACAGTTCTTACTCACAGCCTCTCATCCATTGGGTGATAGAAAAAACAACAACTTGGGCTTTGCATTGTTTACTTTTACAAATCCCAATTCAGCTCCATTTCGAGCTGTCTAGGGCAGGGAAGAGGCCTCTGATAAGCACAGCTGGAACAGCAGGAAAATATTCCCCAACCCTGCTGTTGACATGGCTTGCTTTCTTCTATCACCAAGGGGTCTCTAGAAATGATCAGAGAAGTGAGAGGAAATTTGAATACCAGATATATCTTCAGAATCTCCAGTCAACTCTAAAGATTTGAGCGGGGAGAGATGAACAGCACGATACAGAACCAACAAGCACACAAACCTTCCGAAAGAGACCCGAACTCGTGGCCTCTTCTTTACATGTCCACCTGTCCTTCTCTTTCACCTCCTTGCCAAGGTGGCTGTGTCTCATTGCCAAACTGAAGACAAAAGGAAAATGAAAGTATTTGGGATCAGAATAATTGATCTTAGATTGGGAAGGGTCAGCGAAATCCTCTCATCCAGTATTCTGTTTTTCACAGAATAATCTAAGGGCTACTTAACCCCATGACAGACCTGTATTTTATCAGTGATCAGTTTTGGTCTAAAGATAATGTATAGGAAATGTGCCTTGTGGCAAAGGATATCGGTTTATTTTCTTCGTGGCCAGGGATATGTGGGGATAGGATCAGAACTTTCTGGATCCTTAAAAAGCATTCTATATAAAAAAATTATGGAATGAAGAAAAGTTAAAAAAGAAACTGGGGTCCTTGCCTTCTCTGTGAATGAATGCTCCTGGCTGGGCCTAGAGACTAATATCATGCTGATATCATGCTTCTGTTCATGTTAGGGCCCACAAAACCGTGTCCTGTGATGGGTGGGGTTACAGGTCCCTGGAGCCCAGGGGCTTCAGACAACTTTGGCATTTGATGGGATGTGGTCATGAATGTTCTCTGTGGCCATACAAGAGGAGGAAGCTACCATTGAAAAGGAAGGTCATCTGGTGATGAAGCTGGGCATTATCTCCCTTCAGGAGAGGCTCACAAAATGCTGATGGGCTTCTTCCATGAAGAATGCAGGAGTTCCAGGGGCAGGGCCGCTTGACACTCTTATAAATTTGAGGGGAAGGGGAAAATGTTCTATGAGAATGGGAGCCTAGGTGGGTGGTGCACAAAATGGACATAATTAGTAGGGGAAGCTCAGGGGGAGGGTTGAAGGGTGGCAGGGGCTGTGGGAAGAAGGCCTCTGGGGAGGATGTTTGTGGCCATTGTATTGAAAGCCCACGGTTTCTCAGAACAGGCAGGTGATCAGAGCCTCAGTCTGCACATCAAATGTATCACCTTTGTATTAGTCTGTTCTCATGCTGCTAATAAAGATATACTCAACACTGGGTAATTTATAAAGAAAAAGAAGTTTAATGGACTCACAGTTCCATGTGGCTGGGGAGGCTTCACAATCATGGTGGAAGGTGAAAGACATGTCTTACATGGCAGCAGGCAAGAGAGAGAATGAGAGCCAAGCAGAAGGGGAAATAATCCTTTATAAAACCATCAGATCTCGTGAGACTTATTCAGCACCACAAGAACAGTATGGGGGAAACTGCACCCATGGTTCAGTTATCTCCCATTGGGTCCCTCTCACGACACGTGGGGATTATGGGAGCTACAATTCAAGATGAGATTTGGGGAGGGACACAGCCAAACCGTATCAGCCCTCAAGAGGATTACATATCTTCTAGGGTTCACACACGTTCCCTCTAATATTCAGGAGTTGCCAATGTGATGGTATTGAGAGGTGGGACACTCCAGATGATTAGGCATGGGGGCTCCTTTTTTCTGAATGGATTAGGTGCCCTTCCACAGAGACTTGACTAAGGGAGTTGGTCCCCTTTTGCCCCCTTGCCCTTCTGCCTTCTGCCATGTGAGGACACAGCATTCCTCCTTCTTGGAGGATGCAGCATTCAAGGTGCCATCTTGGAAGCAGGGAGCAGCCGTCATCAGCCCAGCTGCTGCCCTGATCCAGGACTTCCCAGCCCCCAGAACTGTGAGAAGTAAGTTTCTGTTTTTTATAAATGACCCAGTCTCAGGGATTTTGTTACAGCAGCACAAAACGGACTGAAGCAGTATTCATCCCTCATCTAACTTTCTGACCTAGCCTAACAAAGTTTTGAAGAGGACTCTTCTTATTTCTGGCTGAGGCATGAAGACAATAGGTGTGACACACCAAAGGGACTGCCGTGAACAAGTTTTGGGGTGGTGGATCAACAATTGGTGTCTCTGAAACCTCTCATCCACGTGAGGCATATCAATGAGTCAGGAGAGAGATTTTTAATATTTTTTAAATTCTTTTTGTTTTTTTTTTGAGACAGAGTCTTGCTCTCTCGCCCAGGCTGGAATGCAGTGGCACAATCTCAACTCACTGCAACCTCTGCCTCCAAGATTCAAGCAATTCTCCTTCCTCAGCCTCATGAGTAGCTGGGATTACAGGTGTCCCCCACCATGGCTGGCTAATTTTTGTGTTTTTAGTAGAGACGAGGTTTCACCATGTTGGCCAGGCTGGTCTCCAACTCCTGACGTCAAGTGATCTGCCCACCTCAGCCTCCCAAAGTGCTGGGATTACAGGTGTGAACCACCGTGCCTGGCCCAGGAGAGAGATTTTGAAGGAAGTGTTTCTGAAAAGAACTTTGAGGTGAAACTTTACTTATATAAAGCAAGGTGTGTGTGTGTGTGTGTGTGTGTGTGTGTGTGTGTGTGTGTGTGGTGTTGGTTCTTCCTTCACTTCAAGTCAACAAAACCATGTAGAAAACCATATATGTCACTTTTCAGTAAGGGGCATAGTGGGCTGGTGCCTGACTCCTTGAGTGAGGGGTAGAAAATGAGCTAGGCAGGTGTGGATGGACAAGCTGATGGTGGCATGGGGGTGGGGAGGGTGGGGACTGGTTTGCATGAATAGCACTTGGGGCAAAGAAGGTGTTTCTCTGGACCGAAAGTGGGCCTTGGGTGAAACCCATTGTGAGGTTATCTAGGAACTTGTCAAGGCAAATTGAACTCAGTGAAGAAAAGCTAAAGCTGTTGCTGGATTCTTGAGGACTATAGATCAAGTAAGTGGCCGTCTAGTAAAGCCAAGTACGTGACCAGATAAAAGAAAGTGAGAGACCCCTAGTGACAGTTCAGAGGACCATGGAAGTGTCCCATTAGAGAAAACACCAGGTGGAAGCATGGGCCAAGCTCAGTACATGAATCCAGCTTCTGACAGTGTCAGGTAGGTAAGAATTTTCTTTTAATCCTCCTACTTCATCCAACCAACCCTGGAATGGCCAGCACTGCTTCTGCACGCAGAGGGAGAGGCCAACAGGAAAGAAGGAAGGTGCAGAAAACACACTGTTTTCCCGTCTGCTGGTTACTTCTTACAGCAGACCCTTGTAAGGGGTGATGGGGACAGGCGTGACTATGAATGCAGACTGAAGTATACCTTATTAAAACACATTTTAGCTCCCGATATGGGATTGTTTTTGTGACAAAGGGACCACAGGACTCTGTGTTACTTAAGAGTGACCACGGAAGCCACGAGACTGCTGTCTTTCCTTCATGGGACCTTGAAAAATTACCCCTCATTGAAGGACTAACGTGAGAACAAAATCAAGTGACTTTGTGATGGAGTCCAATATCAGTTCTTCCCAAATTAACGTACATTTTAATGACTTCCGGTCTAGATCCTAGAACTGTGTGTGAACATAGAAATGTCATGACAAGAAAGAAGAAACATTGTAGAAAGGAATACTAGGTTTAACTTACCATTCCAGAGAGAAACATTCTAAACATATACAGCAACTAAAACAGCATAATGTCATACTACTGCAAGAATCCAAAGATGGTTTGGTGAACCAATATGGATAGTACAGGAACAGACAATAATCTGTATGAGAATCAAGTACATAAGGATAATACAAGAAACCAGAAACAGATTGTTCCATATACAGTGCTGAGACAAATGGTTAATTGTTTTGAAAAACATAAATTTAAATCTTTCATAAAATAACTTCCAGATAATTAAATAGTTAAATGTAAATAATAAAGCTATAAAATACTAGAGGAAGAAAACAGGCAAAGGCCCCTCCCCCAATTTGTTTTCAAACCACTTAAGCCATGATAGCAGATACAAAGGAAAAGGGTGGTAAAATTGACTTTATCAAAATACATTTGTCAAACACACTACAGTCAAAATTAAGAACACAGTGATATTTTGGCTTCTGCCAATATGATGAACAAGACCCCTAAACTGACTCACTTGCTAAAAACAGTTGGATGTACCGGATAAATATATTTAAAAAATTTCTAAACGAATATGAGACAAGATATTAAAGAACAGTAAGGCAAAAATAAAAATGAAAGCAGAGTCTCTGAGAAGTAGAACTCATTATCTGGCTTTGGACTTGAGGTATTTGGTTAGGTCCTTGCTTGCCTGGTCTTAAATGTTATGGGGTGGCATTCAATGCCCAGCATCCATGTAAGGTGGAGATTGGAATAGGACATCCACTTTATAAAACTGGGACTCTAGCGAGCTACATCAGTTTAAGGGTGGAGTGGAAGACACCCACTTTCACACCTGCAGGGGACTGCAAAGATAACTGTCAGGCTTAAGACTTGGAATTGAATTGAGGAGATGGGAATATTCCCTGGTAAATTGCCACAAACTAGCCCTTTTCTTTGTTTACTGCTGTCAAACCTGCCATCTGGGAGGTCTACAAAAATCTCAATTTGAGATTGAAATGACTGAGGACTGGTAGTTTCCGTCAATGTCTTCCAGAAGCAAAAACTGATTCCAATTAGAAGAATTTATCTTCATTCTCAAAGTTCCAGATAAAAAGGAGCACTTCATAGTAAAACACACACACATACACACACACAGACATACACAAAATATATAGGTACAAACAAAATAACACACAAATAACAAGGTACTTTGAGTGAAGGTCAGCAAACAGAGAAACATCAGATCCTTGAAGACTTCAAATATTAACATTTTCAGACACAGAAAATAATCTGTTAAATTTCAAAATGTAAAAGAACAACCTGAAACTGATTGAAGAACAGGAAGATTTGTAAAAAGAATCAAACAGATATTCCAGAAATTAAAAATGATTGACATGTAAAACTCAACGATGACATATTTCTACTTTTGATCAAAATTTAGTGACAGGGGCCAGATTTTTCTACTTTTGCTTTCAAAAACTAGAAAATCAGGCAAAGCACCTGAAACAACAGTTTTTAGACATTGGATACTTGGTAGACAAGAAGTGTGATAAGCAAGAGAAGTCAAGTCAGCCCTATGATGGCACCAGCTTGCATCCTAGAGGCAAATTTCAGGATACAAGTTAGGGAGGAGAGGCTGAAACTAAGGCTAGTGCCCTTACTGGGTTGAGGAGGCAGTGCTCAGATGTAGAGGAGGCCAAATAGAATGTAGCAGGTCCTCAAATAACGTCATTTCATTATAACACGAATGAGGAAAAAAATATCGATTCCTCACTGGGGCCACCGTCTGTGTGAAGTTTGCATGATCTCATGTCTGTGTTTTCCTCTGGGTACTCTGATTTCCTCCCACATCCCAAAGATGTGCACACTAGGTTGATCGGCATGTCTAAATTCTCCCAGTCCAAGTGAGTGTGAGTGTGTGTGTGAGTGTGCCCTGTGATGAAATGGCATCCTATCCAGGGTTGGGTCTCACCTTGTGCCCTGGGCTGCTGGGATAGGGTCCAGCCACCTGAGATCCTGAACTGAATAAGTGGGTAAAGAATTATCTGGCTTATTTTTATTAATCTGTGTTAAATGTCTGTACAGCTCACAGTTATTTCAATATTTAACATTAGAAGTGTTTTGGTCTTTATGTAGAAGTTTGGTGATGTTTATGTGACCAGAAATATGCCATAGAAACTTATTTCTTGTTTATGTCAATTAGCCTATGGTAAAATTGGTTTCATTATATGTTGTTTTGCTCAAAGTGGCAATTTCTAAGAACTTGTCAATGATATTCAGTGAGAACTGAGTGTATATGGGACAGAATACCAGAGAAGAAGAAGGAACAGCTATAAAAAGAGCTCTGGAGATTTGCAGAGGGCTCCCTATGGATGTTTGACTAGGTATTGATCTGTGCATGATTGAAAAAAAAAAAAAAAAACTACCAATGGCCAAGGAAGAACTACTAGAACTACTGGAATGGAAACAGCAGAATAATTCCCAGAGCTCAGCAGGGATTGGGATAATTTAGCTACCACTGACCAGAGTCGAAAGCCCTCATAAGACATGAGACATCCAATAGAATCCTCAAAAGGGTATCCCCTTAATAATGATTCTAAGTTAGTTCTGGACTAAAGGCTATTCTGACTCTTCTCTGACAAAGTGTAAAAGCAAAACTTGAAAGGATCTAACTGACTTAAAGTAACCTAACTGTGAGCCAGAATAAATTGCACACTGTTTAAAGAAAACAAAATCGAACACCCAACAATTTAAATTTTACAATGTCTGGCATCCAGTCAAAAATTACCAGGCATGAAAGAAGCAGAAAAATAAGGTCCATAACCCAAATAAAAATCATTAAATAGAAACACATCCCCAAATGACAGAGGTGGTAGAAATAGCAAACAAGGACATGAACACAGGTATACTCTGTGTGTTAAGAATGTAGAAGAAAACATGAGCAGATTGAGGAGAGAAATAGAAAATATAAGAATGAATTATATTCCTTTTGGTTAAAAAAAAGAAAACTGAAAGGAAAAATAATACACTGAATGAGATGACAGGTTAAACACTACAGAAGAAAAGAAGAATGAACCTGAATATATAGCATCAGAAACTTCTCAAAGTAAATAGCCCGACAGAGGGGAAAAGGCAGTCTAAAATATAACTGGAGGGCCAGAAAGAGAGGTCAGGAAGGGGGATAAACTTTAACAAGGTAATATTTCTCACTGTTAATTGCTTAAAGAAAAATAAGTAACAATGTATTTATTGTTATGTCTCTAGAGTATGTCAAAGTTAAAGACGTGATCAAGTTAAAGATGTGGCCATAACAGCATAGCGTAGAGGACAGATGAAGAAAACGCATTGTGTTGTAAGGCTTTTACATGATAAGTGATGTGTTATAATGTTATGTAAAGATAATCAGTGATAAGTGAAAGATGGATACTCTAAGCTCTAAAGCAACCAAAAAAGTAAACCAAGGAGGCAAAACTAATAAGCCCAAAGTGAAGATAAAATGAAATGAAACATTTAAGGCAAAAGGCAAAAAGGAAACAAACTGCAGACAGAATAAATATATAATGAACAGCAAGATAAATGTTTTAAATCTAACATATTAATATATGAGATGGAAATGATGTAAACACACCAATCAAAAGACAGATAGTCAATTTGGATTAACAAAAGTAATGCACAACTATATGCTGTCTGAGAGAAACACACAATAAATCTGATACAATTAGTTTAAAATAATTGAAAGATATATTCTGTGCGATCAAACTAGTTGGACTGGATATGTTTATATCAAAGTAGAATTTAGAACAAAGAATATTACCAGGAATAAAAAGGGCCATTTCATATTGAATAAGTGGTCATCTCATCAGATGATATAACAGCCACAAATGTCTGTGTTCCTAAGAACAGAGCTTCACAGTAAATAGAGCAGAAACGATTACATCCAAAAGGAGAAATAGACAGATCCACGGTCATTGTTGGAGATCTCAACCCTACTCTCGCAATAATTGAATGAACAAGTAGACAGGAAATCAGTAAGGATGTAGAAGACTTTACCAGCTGTAGCAACTAATTTATAAATGCCTCAACTAGACATTTTATAAATCACAAAAACCAGAAAGATACACATTCATTCCAAGTGTACAAGGAACATTTATGAATATCTACCATAATACTGAATTAAACAAGTCTCAACAAACATAAGATATTAAAATCATACAAAGTATATTCTTTGTCTGCAAAACATGAAACTAGAAGTAAACCAAAAGATGTCTGAAAAAAATTTCCAAACCAAGGAGCAAATCATAGGCAAATTTGAAAAGTTTTGAACTGAATGGAAAAACATATCAAAATTTAGGGCATAGTTACTGTTGAGAACTGAATTGCATCTCCCCAAATTCTGATGTTGAAGTCCTGACTCCTGGTACTTCAGAATGTTACTGTATTTGGAGCTGTACCTTTAAAAGGGTAATTAAATTAGAATGAGGTGATTAGGGTGAGCCCTAATCCAATAGGACTGGAATCCTTATAAGAAGAGAAGATTGGGACACAGAAGCACACAGAGGGAAGATTCTGTGAAGACACATGGAGAAGACAGCTATCGACCAGGCAAGCAGAGAGACCTGAGACAAAACCAACCCTGCTGACATTTTGTTCTTGAACTGCTAACCTCCAGAATTGTGAGAAAATACATTTTTGTTGTTGAAGTTACCCAGTTTATGCTACTTTGTAATGGTAGACCTAACAAACTAATAACAGTATATACATTAGAAAAACAATGATGGATATTAAATCAAAGGTATAAGTTTTTGCTTAAAAAATAGAAACAGAAGAACAAAACTCAAAGCAAGTAGAAGAAAGAAACTATTAAAGATAAAAGCAGAATTCTATAGAACAGATAACAGAATAACAGAGAAAACTAAATGAAACCCAAATCTGGTTCTATTAAAAGGCAAATATAATGGACAAGTGTGAAAATTAATAAAATCCAAACCGGCTCTTTGAAATGAATAATGACACTGATAAAACTCTAGCTAAACTTAATAAAAGACAAAAATTAAAACCAGTAATAACAGAACAGATACTACAAATAGATACTACAAATAGTAAAAGGATAGTAAAGTAGTAAGTATGAACAACTTCATGCTAATATATTACCTTAGATGAAATGAACAAATTCTTAGGAAGACACGAACTACCAGAGCTCACGCAAGAAGAAACATAACCTGAATTAACCATATATATGTACTTAATTTGAATTCATAGTTAAAATTTTCTCACATAGAAAATTCTAGGCCCAGATGATTTCTCTGATTAGTAAATATTTTAAAAATACCAATTCTGTACAAATCTTTACAGATAATAGAAGAGGAAACACTTCCTGACTCCTTTTATGAGGCAAGCATTACCCTGATGGTAAAAAAACAAACAAGAACAAAAACAAACGTATTACAAGAAAGTAAACTACAGACTAATGTACCTAATAAATACAGATGCAAATATCCTTAACAAATTTTAGCAAATCCAATCCAATGATATACAAGCAGAATAATATACCATGACTAAACAGAGTTCACACAGAAAATCATGGTTGGTTTACTACTCAAAAACATTACAGTTCATTATATTAACAGACAAAGAGTCGTTTCAATAGACACTAAAATTTTATTGATAAAATTAAACATATATTCATGATAAAAATTCTCAGGAAACTGGTAGTAGAAGAGAATTTCCTCAACATGATAAAGGGCATCTATAATAAAAATCCTACAACTAACATCATACCTAATAGTGACAGGGAGATTGGTAAGTGTATTCATTCTCATTATGACTTTTATTCAGCGTTATTCTGGAAGTCCTATTCAGTGCAGAAAGCAAGAAAAAGAAAAGGCATACGGGTTGAAAGTAATGAAAAGAACTCTTTATCCACAGACGACATAATTGTTAATGTAGAAAATCTTAGGGAATTTACAAAGAAATTACTAGAATCAATAAGTGTGTTTACGAAATTTTCTTAAAACTAAGACAACATATAAAATTAAATTTTATTTCTACATGCTAGCAACACACAATCAGAAGTGGAAATTTAAAAAGTTAAAATAGTGTCAAAATACTAACTACCTAGAAGTGAAGTTTTAAAAACATACGCAATACCTGTATGCTGAAAATAACAAAATATTACCAAGAGAAATGAAAGGAGAATGAAATAAATGCAAAGACAGACCATGTTCATAGACGGCGGACTCAATATTATTAAGATATAAATTTTACAAAATTTGATCTTTATGTTATTGCAACCCTAATCAAAACCTGCAAACTTTTGACAACAACAAAAGGAAATGGAAAAAATAATTCTAAAGTTTGTATGGAAATTAAAAACACTTAAAATAGACAAAACAGTTTTGAAAAAAAGAAAAAAACTGGAAAGACTTTCACAATCTAATTAAAGACTTATTATAAATCTTTAATAGTTAATACATTGTAATTTTGGCATAAGGATAAACATATAGATCAATAAAACACAATAGAGAATTTAGAAATTGACTCACTTGCATTTGGCCAGTTCATATTTTTACAAAGATGCCAAGATAATTTAATGGAGAAAGGACCAATTTTCCAACAACTCTTACTTTAATCATGGGATTTCTAGGTGTAAAAAAGTGAGTCTTGGTTCTTACCACACATTATATATAAAACGAACTCAAAATAAAAAACATCTAAATTTAAGAGGTAAAACTACAAAACTTCTAGAAAAAAACATAGAAGATTTTTGTATGTATGCGTGGGTGTGGCCTGGCTTAAGTAAAGATTTCATGGTTTAGACACAAAAAACAGAACCATAAAAGAAAAACTGAAAATTTACACTCCATCAAAATTAAAAACTTTTGTTTCTAAATAGACACAGGCAAGGGAAAAGGTAAGAAATAGACTGGGAGAAAATAAACGCAAAGAAGATACCTGATAAAGTCATCGTATCTAGAATATATAGCATTGCCATCCAATAATAAGACAAACAATCAGATTTAAAAATGGACAAAAGTTTTGAATACATATTTCACCAAAGAAGATGTACAGTTGGTGAATAAGCACATGAAAAGATACTCAACATCATTAACATTAGAGAACTGCAAAACCAAACCATAAGGAGAAATATAATTGCACATTTGTTAGAATGGGTAAAATTAAAATGATTGATTATAGCAATGTTGGTGAGGATATATAGCAACTGAAATTCTTATACATGACTGGTGAGAATGCAAAATGGTACAGACACTTTGGAAAACAGATTATTTACTCAACAGAAATTAAAATGTGGATTTACACAAACACTTGTACTCAAATGTTCATAGTAGCTGTTTTCATTATAGCTAAAACCTACAAGCAACCCAAATGTCCATCAACTGGTGAATGAATAAATATATTGCAGTATAACCATAAATGGAATATTCCTCATCACCCGGAAGGAGGAACTACTAATACCAAATAACATGGGTGAATCTCAAAAGCATTTTGCTAAGTAAAACAATATGAACACAAAAGAATATATAGTGTATGATTTGCTATATGTGAAATTCTGGTAAAGGCAAAATTAGTGACAGAAAGCAGGTCAGTGATTTTTAAGGGTTGGGGGTGAAGTAGGGGATTAATTGCAAAGGGCCACAGTGGGACTTTTTGGTGGTTATAGACATATTCTATCTCATGATTGAGGTTATGGTTACACAACTGTGTACATTCGTCAAAACTTGTTGAAACATACACATAAAATTGGTGAGTCTTATTGTGTGTAAATTATACCTCACTGATGCTAATTAAAAATTTTATAGGTTAAATAGCATCAAACTTATCTGAAGGAATAATTTGGTGCACTAGAGCATTGATCTAAATAAATTACCCAGAACAGTTCAAGAAAGGAGATTTTTTTAAAAAAGAGAGATTAACATATATCTCTTATGTGTATATATGTATATATACACACAAATACACACATAGGATAGAAATTTTCCAGTATGTGTCTCATTCATTCACGTTTCAGAAGGAGAAAAGACAAAAATTAGGGGAGTGGTGATATTTGAATACCAAATTGTTGATAATGTTTGAAAACTGAAAGACATCTATCCCCAGACTTGAGAAGCCAAATGAATGCTGAGCATAAGAAAATAAATCCACACCTAAAAAATCTTAGCAAAATGAAATATTAACAAAGATAAGAGATCTTAAGCATGTGATGGTGGCTCGTGCCAGTAATCCCAGTTCTTTGGGAGTCTGAGGCTTCAGTCCAGGAGTTAGAGACCAGCCTGAGCAATATAGACCCTGTCTCTACAAAAAATTAAAAAAATTAGCTAGGTGCGGTGGCACACTTCTGTAGTCCGTTAGCCTCAGGAGGCTGAGGTGGGAGTATTGCTTGAGCCCAGGAATTTGAGATTGTATAGGGCTATGATTGTGTCACTGCACTCCAACCTGGGTGACAGAGCGAGACCCTGTCTCCAAAAAAAAAAAAAAAAAAGCATGTGATAATAGATTGACTATCTTGAAAGGAATGACAGATTTACAATGACTAATTATTTTTCCTTCAACTTTTATTTTAAGTTCCCAGATACATGTGCAGGATGTACAGGTTTGTTACATAGGTAAACGTGTGCCATGGTGTGCACAGATCAACCCATCACCTAGGTATTACACCTAGCATCCCTTCGCTATTCTTCCTGATGCTCTCCCTTCCCTCACCCACTCCCCCAACAGGCCCCGGTGTGTGTTGTTCCCGACCCCGTGTCCATGTGTTCTCATCATTCAGCTCCCACTTACAAGTGAGAACATGTGGTGTTTGGTTTTCTGTTCCTGAATTAATAACTACTTTTTAAGAATAACAATGAAAGATAAAAGATTGTGGTCTACAAAAAAACAATTGTCAACCCAGAATTTCCTACCTAGCAAAAATATCTTTCATAAATGGGGGCAAATGAAAGATGTTTTCATACAAACATAGAATGTGGGTTTTTTTTCCCTCTTGGACCTTTCCTAAAGTAAAATCTCAGGAATATAACTTAGGCAGATAGAAAGTGATTCCAGATGGAAACTTTGAGATATAAGAACAAATTAAGAGTATTAAAATATGTGAGGTAATGGCTGGGCACGGTGGCTCATTCCTGTAATCTCAGCACTTTGGGAGGCCAAGGCGGGCAGATCACGAGGTCCGGAGATCGAGACCATCCTGGCTAACACGGTGAAACCCTGTCTCTACTAAAAATACAAAAAATTAGCTGGGTGTGGTGGCGGGCGCCTGTAGTCCCAGCTACTCGGGAGGCTGAGACAGGAGAATGGCATGAACCTGGGAGTCGGAGCTTGCAGTGAGCCGAGATGGCACCACTGCACTCCAGCCTGGGCGACAGAGCAAGACTCCGTCTCAAAAAAAAAAAAAAAAAAAAAAAGTGAGGTAATATAAAAAAGCTTCAACTATGTAAGAAAATAATAATACCTTATGGGATTAAAAATAGAAAATACTAAAATACTCTACAATAATGGCAGAGAAGCAGTTGAGTGAGAAATTCTTGCATGTGTGCCCCAGGAGGCATAAAGAAGGATGTTCACAGCTGTGGTATTTGTAATAACAAAAGTTGAAAATAACTAACGTCCACCAATAATAGAATGAATAAGTATGTATAGTGATGCAATGACATATTTCACAGCATGAATTATAGCTACTTGCAGCAACCTGGTTGAACTCCAGGAAAATAATATTGAGTTTAAAAAAGAAAGTGATAAAACAATACCTCACATTATTAAAAGTTAAAAACATGCAAAGTGAAACAATATATTTATGCATATAAGCAATTTGGTGAAATGAAACAGAAAAACAAAATATAGGATAATGGTTACCTTTGCTGAAGAAAGAATAGATAGTATTTCAGGGTGACCAAAAGGGATTTCAGAGACAACCTTTGTTTATTTTCTTAAACTGGGAGGTGGGTACATGGGTGTTAATTATTTGAGGATTCTTTGCATCTTACATGTACTTATATACATCCATATTCTCTTAATCAAATTCTATTTAAACTATTTTACTCAATAAGCACCTGGGTGTCGTGGGCACTCAGATGCAGTTTCCACTGTCCTCAGTTACCAGATGAGATGTGTTTTGGTTTGAGGCTCATGAAAAGATCATGTGAGTACAAGCCACATCAGTACATGCATGAAAAGCCACTGGCATAGTTTGGCAGGGATGGCGGAGGGTAGGGGAATGGCTTGGAGTCTCCCCTCAGTTTAAATACTGTTCTGGTATATAACTCTTACAAAAGTAAGTGATTGGTTCCCATTCTGTAGTGGAGCTCAGGTCAATAAAATGAAAGTGATTCTCTGGACAATCCTAAAAGCCAAGTTTGTGAGTGAGCTCAGAACATTCTTGGATCAGAAATGAGTACATGGGAGGCCTTGAAAACCCCTCATCTATTTCAGGGTTGATTTTGCCAACACCTAGGTGTTCTCCAGTCAGGGTTCTCCAGAGTAACAGAACCAATAGGATCAATAAGATATATTTAGGAATTGGCTTGTGCAATCATGAAGGCTGAGAAGTCTCAAAATCTGCCATCCACAAGCAGAAAAACCAGGAAGGCCCGTAGTATAATTCAATCCAAGTCTGAGCCAGGGGAGCCAGCGTCTTGAGTCCCAGTCTGCATCCATCATCAGGAGAAGAAGGAAGTCCCAAATCAAACAAGAAGCAGATTTGCCATCCTCTGCCTCTTTGTTCTGTTTAGGTTCTCGACTCACATTGGCAAGAGGTCTTCTTTACTCAGTCTACCAATTTAAATGCTAATCTCTTTTGGAAACACTCTCACAGATACATCCAATAATAATGTTTTACTACCTTCTGGATATCCCTTGGATCAGTTAAGTGGACACATAAAATTAATCATCACACTGACTAAGGGTCAAACTGCCCCAGAGAAACTCGTACAGTGATTCACAGTCCAGCTGCTAATCTTTCCTGTACAGTCCCACCCTCTTGCCATAGCTTTTATGTCACATATCTCCCAGGTATTTTATTATAATTTATATTAAATTTTTCAAGAAAATTAAACACATAAAAATGAACATACAGTTGTCCCATTGTATCCTCAGGGGATTGGTTCCAGGACCCCCATGGATGCCAAAATCCACAGATGCTCAAGTACCAGATATAAAATGGTGTGGTATTTGCATATAACCTGTAAAATCCACCTGTATACTTTAAACCATCTCTAGATTACTTATAATACCTAATACAATGTAAATGCTATGTAAATAGTTGTTAAATTATATTTTAAGATCTGTATTATTTTTTATTGTTGTATTGTTATTTTTAATTTATTTTGAATATTTTTGAGCAGCGATTGGTCAAATCTGCAGGTGCAGAACCCATGGATAGAGACAACCAACTGCACTAACACACTACCGACCACGACACCCAGAATATCCAATAAGAAGTGGGAATCCACCCCCCACATACATTTTGTGACTATCCCCCTTCACAAACCTTTCGAAATCCCCTAATTAATCAAGCTATTCTATTCCATTTCTTCCTTCTTTACCCACGACCTCTTATAGCCTTCTATAGGTACCGAGAGATTCATTGATCTATGTATATCATTTCTTTAGAATTAAATTTACTTTCTCTTTGGCCAAGCAATCCCCATTAGTATTAGGTTAACTGAGGGCCTTAAGTCATTTATCCTAAATATTTTTAGTCCAGAGGATCATCATACACGTAAGTTCTGTTTTTATTTAATTCTGTAACGGAACCTACAAACCCTTTACTATGTAACTCTAATAGAAAGATTAATGTCTAGCATATCACACACATCAGTAAATATTACAGAATCAGTTTCCATTTGCATCTTTTTGCCATATAACATGTATTTCCTGTAAATGGAGTTTACAGATCGTTTTTAAAAAGTTCCAGGTTCCGTCTGGTTTATGGGCTTAGTCATAGCCTGGCCACAGGAACCCCATTTCCAAGGACAGAGGTATCCTGATATCCTTGTGGAGCATCACCCACCCGTCTCCCTGGGTGTGAAATGATGGTGGCCTTTAATCAGTCCAATCCCAAGCAGCTGTATCTTAGGAACATTTAGCCCTCTATCCACAGCACCCTAGCCATGAGAAAATAACAATAAAGACCACAATTTAGGTTTGCCATAGTGGTCCCACAAAATCACCCCTTCCCTCCAATACATGCGACCGTATTGGTGAAATTAACACATTTATAAATTCTTTCTGGGCGAGGACACATGCCCTCTAACAATGTTGTTGCCCATTAATTTGGTCACCCAGTCCATTTGGGAATTGCATTATTGGCTTTCCAGGCCACCTGCCAGCTGTGGTCAGTTTATGGGAAGAGAACTCCTTTGCAATTCCAATTTGGGTAAACAAATCATTTTCGAAGTGGTAGCAAGCCCTAAGAAAGCTATTTCCACTTGACTAAGCACACACAGTCGATTTTCCAAGGCCTCTGAGTCTTTTGTCTTTTTTGTTTTCACCTTTCCATTATTTATAGCTCTTCCCTTTCTTTTTCTTATTTTATTACATTGGTCAAGACCACCAGCGTTATGTTGAATCAGAGCAATAAATGATAACAGGTACAACTGTCTTATCTCAACTTCAATGGAAATATTGCTAAGGTTTTAACACTAAGTAACTTTAAACATTTAAAATATTGATGAGGTTTTAGCATTATGTAATTAAGTAACCTTAATTTAGCATTAAGGTTTTACCTGCTACATATTTATAGCAATAATAGTATTTATTGAGTACTGACTAAATGATAGTATTGTAAGAATTTTATTTGCATTATCCATTTCTTATGACACCCATTTTCCAGATGATGAAACTAAATTACAGAGAGGTTAGGGAACTTGCCCGTGGCATTTACATCTGTTAGAGATTCGATTGCAGGAATGCTTACTTCATAGTTCAAGTGTTTAATTATTTTGCAATACTGCCAGTAGGTTGATGCCCTCAAGTTAGAAGAGTTCCTTTTACCTCTAGTTTTCAAAGCATAAGCTGCACTAAAAGATGAACATATACATCAGAAGTGGGTGTTATACCTTATCAAATGCTCTTCTACAAGTTTTAGATGGTTATATGATTTTTGTCATTTATTATGTTAATAAATTGAATTGTGTTAATGTATAGAATTACATTGAAAAATTTTCTAACGTTGAACCATTCTTGCATTACTAGGAGAAACCTTACTTATTTATTACGATTTTATCCTTTTAATGTACTGCTGGCTTAGATAAGACCTTTTGCTTTATTAAATGCAAGCAGTCTTTGCTTTTCCAGGCACCACGATAACTGAAATTTGTGCATATTAGAACAATGTCTTCACTTTACACAGTTCTAATAAGCACAAGTTACAGTTAGATCACTACTATGCACAACATAAACTGCCTGTAGTTGAGACTTTTTTCCTTCTTTTCCTCATGGTATTTTAGTAAGGGGCTAACCTTAACTAAATTGCCAAATAATAATTTTTGATTTGAATTTATCTTGTTGGTATTCCACTATAGACCAGAGAGTCCTTGTCTTAAACACAATGTACTCAATGATTCAACAGCTGTGTTGTTTTTAAAGTTTTTTTCATATCCTAATATTTCATAATTCTCTGTACTTTCTGTCTCTGAAGGAATTTCTTGCCATTTTTTGGTTGGTTTGGGACCTTTCCAGGATTATAGAAAGAATGGATTTCAAAAACCAAGTTTCTGCTTTTTCTGTTGCAAGCAATGTCCAGGAAGCTAATGTTTATAATATTTCCCTCTCTTGATCTTTTCATTCCTCAAACCTGGGTTAGATTTGAGGTCAGGACCATTGTCCTATTGGGGAAAAGGCTGTTTCTAAGGGTGTCACCTCTGCTGCCAGCCTCAGGGCTTTGCAACCAGGTCCACAGGTGTTCCCACACCCATGTTACAAGCTGAAATGTGAGTTTGACAACTTTGGTTGCTATGTCTGTCATGGTGAGCACAAAATACATAGTATTTGGTGAGATTACTTGGCCAAATGACCACCAAATTTCCTGTACACCAAGGAATACTTCTCCTTTCACTTTCTTCATTTTGAACAGCTCTGGTTCCCTAGACTCATCCCCACTGATATTTTTGCTTGTTTTTTTAATATGGCATTGGTAGAATATCTATTTTACATGAGTGAATTTCTCGGTAAACCAATTCACTCCCTTAAAAACAAAACATCTTAATTTTGTTAATGAAAATCTTTCTCAAATGTGTTTTGTAAATTTTTCTACCTAAAAAGGAAATTATATCTTGTGTAAGAGAATAGGATGTAACATAATTTGATATTTTATTGATAATGCTAAGTCATTATAATAGATATTAGTTAATGTCTTGTGCTGAAACTCAAGACATAGAGACTCTTTCCAAGCCCCTTAAGTTTTAGGGTTTTGCCCTTCTGCAGATGACCCCAGGCTGCTGTGCCTTTCTAGTCTGCTGCTATATAGACTTTTTTTGCTTTTCTTCTGATAAATTAGGCTGTTAGAAAATATATAGCAGCTTTCCTGCCTCTTTATATTAATATAGTTTACTGCATTTTGTGTGTTTTGATTGGAACACAAGAAAATGTGTTAGGATTATGTGTAAACTAAGAGCAAATAGATTGTGAAGGAGGACCTATTTTTTCTCACCCAAAACAAGGGAATTATATTAGATTTTCTCTCAGATCTTTTTCCTCACCTCTAAAATTTCCTCACCTCTAAAATGGGAATGATAATAATATTTACCACTTCATACTTGTGTCTTGAAATATATATATATATTTATGTATGTATGTGTATATATATATCTGTATGTATGTGTGTGTATATATATGTGTGTATATATATGTGTGTATATATACACACATATATATACACATATATACACATATATATATACACACACATATACATATACACACACACACATACATACATAGGTTTATATATATATAGGGGTTTTTCTTGTGTGTGGTTTTTTTTTTTTTTTTTTTTTTTTTTTGCTTATTTTGTCACCTAGGCTGGGGTACAGTGGTATGGCCTTGGCTTACTGCAGCCTCAATCTTCTGGGCTCAAGGATCCTCCCATCTCAGCCTCCAGGGCAGCTGGGACCACATGCACATGCCACCACGCCTGGCTAATTTTTGTATTTTTAGTAGAGATGGGGTTTCACCATGTTGGCCAGGCTGGTCTTGAACTCCTGGCCTCAAGTGATCCACCTGTCTCAGCCTCCCAAAGTGCTGGGATTACAGGTGTGAGCCACCATGCCTGGCCTGTTTTGAAATATTAATAGAAGTTAGATGGTTCAGCAAGGGTGAAATAAAATCAGTAATTCTCTGGGAGGTAAAATTGACAGGGCTTGGTGACTGCTGCACATGGCAGTGAAGAAGGGAGATTTCCAGGCCAGTGCAGGGTTTTCAGGTGGGCTTTTGAGTAAATGGGGAGAGAGGACTCCCAGGCACTGTGTGGATTCCCTAAGGTGATCCACAGGAAGGACCAGGCACACAGTAGGGCTCTGCGTTTTCTCAGTCTTCTGCCTTCATTTAGATTCCCAGCACTCAGAGTCTTTTTTGAAGCACCCCAGATTTAACTGGTGGAGATGTCAGTGTTATCTCAAACCCCTCCTTCCCCAGCATTTCAACTCCAGTCTCCTAGGAACCAAGAAAATGCAGTTGCCTACAGGTCCCTTGGCTATGTCTCCCAGCTCGCCCAGAGCTAACAGCACTATCTTCTTCACTGGGAGAGATGTCCTAATTCAGACCCGAAGGCTGCTTCACATTAGCAGATGCTGACTGCGGGTGGGCAAGTGCTCGACCCTCAGGCCCTGACACTGCTCTAAGTGGGAGACAGGTCCAGCTAGGAGAGGGAAACTCAGTCACAGCGCAGGAGGGACAGGAGGCTTTTAGTAAAAGTGCCAGTCACCAGGGGCTGCTGATACCATCGCACACCAGGTCTGGTTACAGCTTCCTGCCTCCCTGCAGAAGCTAGCACTGGAGTTGGAGAAGGGGATGAGGGCAGATCCCTGAATGAGTGGGAAGGGGGTGGCTGGGAGGAGAG
Source organism: Homo sapiens (assembly GCF_000001405.40). Lineage (NCBI taxonomy): Eukaryota > Metazoa > Chordata > Mammalia > Primates > Hominidae > Homo > Homo sapiens. The sequence continues at coordinate 93,455,162 of NC_000015.10, forward strand.
GGAGGCGGAGGGAGGGAGGGAGGAGAAGTGAAGGGGCAGCATGATTCCAGTGAAAGCTCTTACTCTCCAGATGAAAAGCATTTTGTAGTTTTGCCTTAAATCATTCCCTTAACCATAGAGTTGGAGATCACTTTTTTAAGAAAACCGGTAGCACCTGCAAAAAGGAGCGCTATCTTTTTTTTTTTTTTTTGAGATGGAGTCTCGCTCTTGTTGCCCAGGCTGGAGTGCAGTGGCATGATCTCGGCTCACTGCAACCTCTGTCTCCCGGGTTCAAGTAATTCTCCTGCCTCAGCCTCCCGAGTAGCTGGGACTACAGGTGCGCACCACCATGCCCAGCTAATTTTTGTATTTTTAGTAGAGACGGGGTTTCACCATGTTGGCCAGGATGGTCTCAATCTCCTGACCTCGTGATCTGCCCGCCTCGGCCTCCCAAAGTGCTGGGATTACAGGCACGAGCCACCGCACCCAGCCAAGAGCACTATCTTTTAAGAACATAAAGTTCTGTGTTTCTCGTAGGGCAGAAGACCATGCCAACTTCTGTGGCACACAGCCCTTCTTATCTGCACCAGTTGCTGCCACATGGCTTGCAGTTGCTTCTCCTTCCTTCACCAGCAATTGGTTACTGACAGCATGTTGTAGCCAAACCCTGAGCTCCAGGAACTGCCCCTACGAGGAATGAAGCACCCAGCAGGACAGAGGAGCTTCTGACCTTGCAAAGCCAATGTGAGGTTGCTGCCTTGCGTTTAAAGCTAGCGGTATTCTTCCCTGTGCTCATCTGGCCACTCTATTTGGTTAGTGTTTTGCTAATGAGTTGAGGGCAAGGAGCTGAGCCACACATGGTCCATTATCACTTTCTTGTGTGGTCACAGATAGCATGCCAAACCTGGTTTCAAACCCTTCTCCTGTTGGTTACAAAGCAGATGGGCCAAGCAATTCTGACTGCATCAGTTTAATTCCAATCATTACTATCCAATTAAAGCAAAACGCTTGTTACTGGCCATGATGTCACCTTTACCAAAAGAGGAGGTCTTTTTTTTTTTTAATAGAGCATTTTCTCTAGGCCTGGTGCTAATTAAATGCTTTGCGTGCATTTCTCACTGATCCTTATAATAATCCCTCCAGATAGGTATTGCTTTCACACCTCCATTTTACAGATAAGGAAACTGAGGTCTGAAGAGATGAAGTCACAGACGTAAGGTAACAACCTAACAGAGTACGCGTAAGATGACCTGTGCTTTCAGACTTGACTCCCAAGCCTCTTGACGTAATTTAAAGGTGTCATCTAGTTAGTATCTGGTATCTGCCACCACCCATGGCAGCTCACAACTGTCTTTTTTCATTCTGTCACCTTACTGAAGAGGCTCCGCTGTCTATTAGTGCTGGGAACAAAAATGTGTAAGAGGAAGGCTCTGCGCTAGAGCACTGGAAGCTCCGGTAGGAATGCTGACTGCCAGGAAGGTGGGGCTGAGTGGCTCCAAGGAGCCTTCTAGAGAGAAGGCACAGCGCAGCGAAAGTCATGGATCCAGGGATGGGGGATTCTATCTGGTGGGGTGTGGGGTAGGCTGACTGGAGTCAAATCAGGGCGGGCCCTCCTTCCTGAAAGTTGAGTTTTGACTTTCACAAGAGCTCCTGGGTTATAGGCAGGGAAATGACTAGATCACATCGGTGTTGAAGAAATATGTTTCACTGTTTACCTCCTCACTACGTAGGCCCTTTCATTTCCAGACATGTCTGTGAGAAGTCCTTAACTCCTACTGTAATCTGTTTCCAGAGGATTTTTTTTTTTCCTCCTTGGTCTTTTAAGTTGGCTGTTTCCTCCAAGGATAGAAGGAAATCCCCTGGTAGCTTCAAGACCTGTGCAGGGGACGCCTTGCCCAAGGAACAAGAACCTGGATAAACATTGGGTCGACCATCGCCTCCAGGTCTGATGAGCACAGATGTTTTCTGAAGAGTTCTGGAGGTACCTTGTGGCACCTGAACCATGCTCTGTTTTCCTTGCAGGAGGCTTTTCTTTTTCAGTCACCGTTTAAAACATGCTTTCTACCTGTTCAGAAAATCTAGTTCAGGTCGACGAAGACCTTTGGGATGAAATCTCAATGCCCAGCCTGGAGATTGGGCCACATGGTTTCTACTAGACACACCATTATAATTATGCATCAGAATCATTTATACAGCCTTGGGAATTTTCTCCATATGTCCCATTAAGTTTGGGAGTCACCAGGGCCCTAATGACACTGGGAAGTTATGAAACATCATATGGAATTTTTACAGTTATTTTATTGTCCTCTTGCTCTCCTCCTCAATGCTTGCAGCCTCAGGGACTCAGAGTCAGTCTAACCCAGAGTTTCTCAACCATGACACTACTGACACGTGGAGCTGGCTGATTCTTTGTTGTGAGGGGTTGTCCTGCGTGTTGTAGGATGTTTAATAGCATCCCTTGTCTCTACTTACTCAATAGTAGTAGCACCCCAGATATGGCAATGAAAAATATATCCAGGCATTGCCAAAGCCACCTGGGGGCGGGGGCGGGTGTGTGAAATTTTCCCTTTGAGAACCACTAGTCTCACCTACATTCTAATCCTAGCTGCTGCTTTTTTTTTTTGTTTTGTTTTGAGATGGAGTCTCGCTCTGTCGCCCAGGCTGCAGTACAGTGGCACGATCTAGGCTCACTGCAAGCTCCGCCTCCTGGGTTCATGCCATTCTCCTGCCTCAGCCTCCCGAGTAGCTGGGACTACAGGCGCCCACCACCACGCCTGGCTAATTTTTGTATTTTTAGTAGAGATGGGGTTTCACCGTGTTAGCCAGGATGGTCTCGATCTCCTGACCTCGTGAACCGCCCTCCTCGGCCTCCCAAAGTGCTGGGATTACAGGCGTGAGCCACCGCACCTGGCCAATCCTAGCTTCTTTACTTCCGAGTTGCATGGCCTTTGGTAAGTTGCTGAAACTCCAAGAGTCTTAGTTTACTAATTCGAAAAATGGGCATCCTTGTATTTACCTTTCAAGGCTGTTGTCAGATGCTGACTGCTTCATTTAATCTGCAGAAAACTTGAGTCCACCTTCCCTATACCCTGTCCAATATTCCATGGTGTGGGAATCCTTTCTACCTCACGAATGGATATAGATTTCATCCGAGGCCTAACCAAAATGAAACTGCCAAGCTGAGTGACATAGAGTTGCAAAGGGATGGATTCCCTCTTTGACTGGCAAATAATTTGCTGGGAGCATCAGCTTTTTGTGCTTCAGTAACTGAGCATCCCATTTGAGGCCTGCAGCTCCCGAGCTGCCCACTGGACTCAGTGATGGAGCGCTTGGATCTGGCTTAAGTGGGTTTGAGTACTCCAAGTTGCTGGCCATTCTCATTCTTTCTTGCCTACTTTCCATATACTCTGCACTAGAAGTGTTTGTCTATTTGTATTTCCCAACCTTGCTCTCTCTGTCCTTGTTTCCCTCCCTACCTGGCTCACACAGCGCACAAACAGTTAAGGGCACTTAGCTTAGCTGCCTCCACATCCCTGTAGACTACCCTGGAAGGATTGAATGAAATTGATAGTACTAACATTACATCACTCACATCCCCAAAGCAAGTGTAGCTGGGCGGGTAGAAGGAATGACCCTGGAGAAAACAGCTGTCAAGGGCAGCTATTGGCTTATCTTTCATGGAAAGAGAGACATAATGAATTCTGAATGAAGAGGAACCAGAGGCAGAGCAGTGTGTGGTCCTGCAAGGCCGCCACACGCAAGCTGGCACTTGGGAAGTACTGAGGACTGTCTCATGTGTACGGGGTCCTGGGCCAGTCCTTCTGGCCTGGCCATGTTTGAGGAAGGGTGTTTTTGTGCTCTGGAGATGAACACTGCTTAGAGGTTGGGAGCCTGCTGTCAAGGGAGTGCTGACACTCTGCCAGTTCGGTCTGTCTGCAGGGTGGTGGGCTGCACATAGGTGGGGGCTGTGTGCAGGCAGGGGCCCTGCCTGGGGATCACTTTCACAGGACCTGGCCCCAGAGAACCATGCAGGCCTCTTCTGCCTCCTTTTACTTTAATACCCTTGTTTACCCTCTGCTGTGTGTTTTTATTTCTCCGAGTACAGGCATCAGTTGGGGCTTTCTTAGGGAGGCAGTACATTTTCATAGGAAGAGATTGAACTTGGGGAGAAGCTGACCCACACTTGAAACTTGTCTTATTTACCTTTAGAATATGTTACCCTCAGCAAGTTACTGTATTTCTTGGAGATTCAGTATTTTTAATCTTTAAAATGGGGGCAAAATAACACTTACCTGTTAAGAGTTTTTGTAAGAATTAGATGGAATGCACATGGAGAGTCTAGCCCAGTAGGTGGCTTGTATTATTACTTATTAGTGACAACTAAGGCTCAAAGCATTGAAAGAACTTTTGGATGTAGTCACTGAGCCAGGAAGTGGTGGAGCAATGACAGGATCCCATGGGAGCTGATGCCAGGGACTAGCTGTACTCCTTCCCTCAGATCGCAGCTGCCAAGCCTTAGGACACAAAGGCACCAAGCAAATTGGAATAGTGTGATGCGAATAAGGACTCATGTCCTAGAATGAGGCTCCTGCATCCCCCACCCATTACCTGTATGTACCATCATTGATAGCTTGCTTTTTGCAGATCATAAGCGCCTGGTAAGGTAGCACCTTATATGGCGGCTGCTGAGGGCTGGAGAGTTGAAAGTTATTTCTTCCATTGAACTCTAAGAAGCATACTCAGGTTGGGGCCGTGAGTGAGGGGTAGGAGAGCCTTAGCTCTCCTCATCAAGCCTATGTCTAGTGAGAGACACAAGCATGAACAATGATGGAAGTATACATGTTTGGAAGACTGAGCATAGGGCACCATGAGAAGATAGAACAAGGGCCTGGTGTATTCCTGGGCACCATGGAGAGCTGCTCTAAAAAGTGGCTGATATCCAAGAGATGAATGAGAATTGGGACACAAAAAGGAGGAGGAGGATTTTAAGGAAAGAAAATAGGTGGACATGAAAATCCACGTGGGCTCAAGGAAAAAGAGATGGAGAAAGTAATTTGTCCAATGATGTTGGATTCTTTTTTTTTTTTTTTTTTGAGACGGAGTCTCGCTCTGTGGCCAGGTTGGAGTGCAGTGGTGCAATCTTGGCTCACTGCAACCTCTGCCTCCCTGGTTCAAGTGATTTTCCTGCCTCAGCCTCCCAAGTAGCTGGGATTACAGGCATGCGCCACCACGCCCAGCTAGTTTTTTTTTCTTTTTTTTTTCCCTGAGTTTCGCTCTTGTTGCCCAGGCTGGAGTGCAGTGATGTGATCTCAGCTCAGTGCAACCTCCACCTCCTGGGTTCAAGCGATTCTCCTGCCTCAGCCTTCCTGAGTAGCTGGGATTACAGGCATGCACCATCACGCTTGGCTAATTTTGTATTTTTAGTAGAGACGGGCTTTCTCCATATTTATAGGCTGGTCTTGAATTCCAGAACTCAGATGATCCGCCTGCCTCGGCCTCCCAAAGTGCTGGGATTACAGGTGTGAGCCACTGCGCCCGGCCAATCTCGGATTCTTAAGAGGTCACTTATCCTTCCTGGGATTGGGTACCAATGTCCCACTGCATCTTTCTAGTGGGTTCCTCTTTCCATTCATCATAATCAAATGATTCTTGACTAGGAAAGCAAGTGGTTATGCAAAAGGGAAACTTTTTTGGTTTTGTTTTTAAACTGTACAGGGTTGAAGCAAAAATCCATTCATGTCCTTGTTAATGATTGCTCACATTCTTTTGGTTGATTCTTAAAGCATGTATTTTAATAAGGGACTGGAAACCACAACTGTTAATCAATGTTCTCTTGGTTTTTACCTCTGAGTCATGGCTTTAGATCAGGGAGATAGCATTTCAGATTTGCTACTGGGTGAGAGGTTTTGCATGGCTTATATGATATTACCTGATTTTTTTACAAAGTTTAGAGGCTACAAAACTATCCAGGTTTTATGATCTCTACTGACCTTGTCAGATTGATGATGGGATGGGTGCTGTGTTTCCCATTTTATGGATATTGAGTGTGCAAGAGATGACAGTTATTTCTTTTATCAACTTCCAGAAAGTGAACTCTGGTTGAGACCTGCAATGGTGAGAGAGATAAGATCACTCATCAAGGCAAATTGATTCGCAGATAAATGAGGCATTCAGTAGGTGGTGAATGCTAAGAAAGACCTATGTCTTCTGAAAACTGCATCGTTAATTGTATTATGTTATTGATCCATCTTGGGTAATGATAGTGTTAGGGAAAGCGAGTTGCAAAGTTGGTTGAGAACCATTGCTTTGTCTCTTCAAGGCACTTACATCTGAAAAGGCATGGGCAGGAGTGGGGGAACCCTGTGGTTGCCATTCTGTTGCCAAAGGGCCAATGCAGGGAGGTAGCTTGAGAGTTAATAATGGAGAGTGGTTGCAGTTTCCATAGGAGAGAAGCCAGGAGTCCAGGCTCACTGTTCAGGGGTGTGTGTGTGCTGGATACTAGGACGGTGAAAATAACTGAGATGGAGTTGGGAGAGAAGTGTATGTATTTCTCACGTGCCTGGATCTGAGAGGCTCAATATCTTGCTATACCCATGAGTGCAAGTCTGTTCTCTGATTTGAGGAAAGAGATGGGCCAAGGGAAGAATAGACCTGAGGGTCAAAGTAGGGTGCCTTCCCTGAGAAGTGGTGCCAGATATAGCAAATGAAAATACAGAACACTCAGTTAAATTTGAGCTTTGGATAACAAATAAGTCACTTATTTTTTAAGTATAAGTGCGTCCCAAATATTGCATGAGACATACTTACACTAAGGGAAAAAACCCCACAACCCTAAAGTTGTTCATATGAAATTTGAATTTGACTGGGCGTCCTGTATTTTATCTGGCAACCCTACTGAGGAGACTCAGAATGCTCCAGTGGCTTCTTGCTCAACTGCACGGACAGGGGCTGCTCCTTTGGGCCACTTCAAGCACATTATTTGGCGGTGGCCACAGGGCATTCTGTTGGGCATGCAGCTCCTGAGACTGAGCCTGCTAAAGTGCCTGGCTGCGGGGTGGAGTGCCTGCCAGGAGCTGCGTTCTTCCACAGCTTTCTTCCTGGGATCCTGCAGTCAGGGTGTCATTCCATCCCTCCTTCCCTCTTTCCCTGTAGCATGTGACCATCTCATCCTTGCTGTTTCTTGCTGTGTTGCTTCTGTCCCCCAACCCTGCCCTTGAAGCCTTGGTTCTCTTGGGAGCCAGGTAAATACTATGCCTCAGTCTATTCTTCTTTCCCTGCTCCTCAGACTTGATGTCATGGATTTGACTCAAGGTTTGTGTTTCACATTTACACTTTTCCTAAGCAGAGATGAGGAGCACCGCCATGGAGTAAGCAAAGGAACCTTGGGCGAGTAGCAAGCATGACATGAGACCTCCCCACAGTCCCTGGCGTGGTGGCCTCCATCCTGACTTCGAGCCTGAACTTCTGACATCCTCATCTGTTTCTACTCTCCATCCCTGCACACCAACACACCTCTGCACTCACAGTTTTTCCTGTGGTTGGCACTCCGGGGCTGTAAGGGCCCTACAGAGATAGCCAAACTTGCTAATATGCTAACTAGAGTTAGTCTGGCCAAGGAGAACATAACCCCTGTCTGATCATGGTGTGCTTCTTTGCCCGGGTAGAAACTTCTGCAGGCTCCCTGCTAGCAGCAGCCAGTGTCACTCTGGAAGGCCAGGGCCTGCTACCTTGGCAGATCCAGCTAACAACAGCAGAGGGCTCAGGCTCCTGGTGGCTGGTCCTTCTGGCTCAGGAAGTCACTTTCCCTCCCAGCTTTGGGTTCGTAGGCTCTGGACCCAGCCTCGACATCCTAGCCCTGCAGCCTACTAATGGGGGTGAAATCAGCCTCCCCACAGTCAACAAGACTTACGTCACAAACTCTAAATGTTAAAATCTCATCCAGTGGAAAATATCCTTAATATTTTATTTCTTTGAACAATTGCCATGACTAGGACTGGTTACATAACATGTGGGGGCCAGTGCAAAATGGAAATGCAGGGCCTCATTTTAAAAAAGTATTCAGAGCTGGCCGGGCGTGGTGGCTCACACCTGTAATCCCAGCACTTTCGGAGGCCGAGGCGGGCAGATCACAAGGTCAGGAGATTGAGACCATCCTGGCTAACACAGAGAAACCCCATCTCTACTAAAACTACAAAAAATTAGCCGGGCACGGTGGCAGGCACCTGTAGTCCCAGCTACTCGGGAGGCTGAGGCAGGAGAATGGTGTGAACCTGGGAGGTGGAGCTTGCAGTGAGCTGAGATCGCGCCACTGCACTCCAGGCTGGGCAACAGAGCGAGACTCCTCTGTCTCAAAAAAAAAAAAAAAAGGATTCAGAACTTCAAGATGGTGACGGTGGAGCATTAAACCAAGCATGGGGCCTTCCAAGTGCAGTGCCCTGTGTGACTGACCTTACACACCTGTGAAGCTGGCCCTGGTCATGACCTCTTTATCAGTTTTCAAAGTCATATGCCTTTCTGTGTTCCTGAACAAATGCTCTGGCTGTATTGTCAAATGTAATGGCCTCTCCAAGTTTGATTACTTGTAAGTCTCAGGTCTCTTCCTTGTGAACCAAAGCTTGGTCAATATTCATTCAAAAAATGAAATTCATTTCAAATGGAGACAGGTATGATGGATGTGTTAAGAACCTAGCTGTGAGAGTTGCTAGCTTCTCTCTGTCCGTCAGTCCTTCGCATTTCTTTCCATACGCAGACCTTTTGCATTAACAAGGAGAGTTATAGTTCAGCACTTCATGTCCGTCTTCTTTGTTTTCATAGCCCTGGCTGTTCACCTTGGTTAAGTGACACAATTATTCCCTTGTCATTCTTCTTGCATGTTAAATAGGGATAACTCAAAGGATTGTATCGCTGATAAAAAGAAATAGCCCCTGTAATGTTTGGATGCTCAATAATTGTTCACATGTTCCCTTCTGTCATCTCATCTGGACCTAGGTCTGTAATTGCAATGCATCAGGAGATTAGATTTTTTTTTTTTTTTTTTTTTTGAGATGGGGTCTTTCTCTGTTGCCTAGGCTGGAGTGCGGTGGTGCGATCTTGAACTTGGCTCACTGCAACCTCCGCCTCCTGGGTTCAAGAGATTCTCCTGCCTCAGCCTCCAGAGTAGCTGGGACTACAAGCGCCCGCCACCACACCTGGCTAATTTTTTGTAGTTTTAATAGAGACGGGGTTTCACCGTGTTAGCCAGGATGGTCTCAATCTCCTGACCTTGTGATCGACCCCCCTCGGCCTCCCAAAGTGCCGGGATTACAGGGGTGAGCCACCGTGCCTGGCTGACATTAGATCTTATAACTCGCCAGTAGCTGGGAATCAGAACAATGTTGAGCAATAAAGCAGTTTTGCTCATACACACACAAACTAGTCCATAACACTGGTGTGTTTTCATTCAGACTCTCTTTAAGGTGATACCACACACTTGCCTAATCCTGCTGTGAGAAAGCTGCCTTCTCCAGAACTGGTGAAGTTCATTCTGATATGAGAACCCCAGGACTAACCTTGGACGGAGTGAAGTGAGGCTTATGTAAAAGGAGATTTATTGTAAGAAATTGGCTCATGTAATTACGGAGGCTGAGAAGTCCCATTATCTGCCATCTGCAAGCAAGCTGGAGACCCAGACAAGCTGGTGGTATAATTAAGTCTCAGTCTGAAGGCCAGAGATGAGATGAGATGTCCCAGGTCAAGAAGTGAGGCAAGAAAAAAGGGACAAATTCCTCCTTCCTCCACCTTTTGTTCTATTCATGCCCTCAGCGGATTGCATGGTGCCTGCCCACATTGGGTGAGGGTGGATCTTTCTCACTCAGTCCACTGATTCAAATGCTAATGTCTTCCAGAAACACCCATGCAGACACACCCAGAAACAATGTTTAATCTGGGCACCCTGTGCCCAGTCAAATTGACACACAAAATTAATCATCCTAACATCCCAGAGCTCATCCTGCCATTGGTTCAAATGTGTATCTGAATCACCTAGAAATGGTTTTCACGGGGCAAGTGCCAAGACCCCAGTCCCAGAAGTGCTGGATCATAGTGTCCAAAATAAAGTCTGGCTTGAGAATTCGACAATATTTTCAGGAGATTCTGATTCATATTTTTAATTAAGTACCATTGGATTAATTCACCCTTTTTCTTCTACACAGAAGGGAATTAAGAACTGGAGTCACACCCTTCTAAGTTCAGAAAACAGTTTTAGTTGGAAAAAAAAATCAATCTTCAAAATGTGAAGATTAAAAAAAAAATCCCATCAAGGCACATGGAAATGGTCACAAGCTTTGGGCCCATTTAACCATTTTCCAGCAAAGTTGATAGCAGAATTAATTAAGGTCACACAGCTAGTAAGTGACAGAAACGGGACTAGAATCTGCGTTACTGGGCTCCTAAAGCAATTTTTCTCTCCTGTATATTCCCTTTCTTGTCTGCTGTTTTGCTTAGAACTAAGTCTAGTCAATGAGTTGAACTGATTAATTCCAGTGATATCAATACTGTCTTAGTGAGGAGCTCATGTGCTTATACTTCGAAAATAAATGTTTGGAAGTTTAAATTTATTTTCATTTTTCCTTATTGGGGATGGTCAAAACTCAACACCCAATGGGCTCAGGTCACCAGCTGTCTGGGGGTGGAAGACAGAGCCCTCCAACGCAGCTGGTGAGCTTCCATCACTCCTCTGTGTGTTGGATGTCTTTCTCAGTTATGCCCTAGTGGAAACTGCAGTCCAGCCTCCTGGTAATGCCATCACGATTATGGTTGATCCGCTCTGTGTAGCCGAAATAGGTGTGATTTCCTGAGTAAGAGGAGCATTAGCTGATTTCTTGAAAATACATGCTCCCTGATTTAGCCAGGTTCATGTGCTTTCACCTTTTTATGTGTTTAATTAAAAACTGAAAATGTCCTCTGCCCTGAAAGATGAATGAGGAGAAATGCCCTATTATTAGGACACACCACCTTTGGAGTGAAATGATTCACTCTGTGATTAAATGCAAATTGCTTCTTAAGAATAATTAGCCCAGGTGGCCTGTAAGCCCAGGGAGCTCACGGTTCATCAGGAGCAGTATTCATCCAATTACTTCTTTACTGAAGATTGGGTGCCCGATCGATCATACTTCTTGGCTTTGGAAGGGCTGGAGGCACACCCTCCTAAGTTCGAAGATCCATTTTAAATAGAAACAAAATAAACATTCATAATTTAAGGACTAAAAAAATTTAAATCCTATCAAGGCAAATGGAAATGAGCACAAGCCTCAGATCCCTGCAACAACTTTCCAGCAGTGACAAATTCATTCTACAAACAAGTCGGTAGAATCATTTTTCCTGAAAAAGGAACCTAGATAAGGGATCTGGTATTTGCAAACTCAGTTAATGTGGCTTGGTTGGGCCTGTTGTTACCTGCTCTGATTCCTTAGCCCATAGCTTACCCATTAAACTAACTGCTCAGATGCACCTATTGTTTAAGTTTCTCTTTAAATGCACAATGATAATAGCTAATTCTGCAAAGCCCTTGTATGTCAGATCCTACATGAGATGCTTTGCATATTTTATTTCTCACCAACACTGTAAGGGAAAGGTAAGATTAGCACCATTTTACACATGAGGAAACTGAGATAGAGAGACTTTAAGTAGCCAAGATTACAAAGCCAATACATGGCCTTCTTACAAATGCGTAGCATTTGTGAAAAAACTGCTGAGTAACAGAATGTGGATGCATCAGGATAAAATCTAAAATGACCGGGAAAACAGTTCAATGATTGCCTTGCTGTTGCTGAGTCAGTAGCATCTTTAAAAAGAAACAGTATATAAAGGCACATGCATTGGTGCCTGTGTTTTGAGCAACCATGTCTTAACAGGACAGCCATTCCCCTCCTCTACTTCATTTGTATCTCTGAACAAGAACAAAGTTCACATCCTTCAGATACATAGGGGTTGAGAAAGAGTTAAGTTACCGTTTGGGTAATAAAGGAATTAAAATCTCTTTCAAGCAGGTCATAATTAATTCTTTTAATTATAGATTACTTGAAAAGGGAGACAAAAGGAAGGAAAAGCTTTTATCATCTGATTAATAAACCTCTGTTAGCATTTTCATATGCCCTCATGTAATTTTTTTCTCTGCTACCTGCTTCAGTTACTATTGCAGTGTAAGAGATTTTTTTCAAATTTACTGGTTTAAAACAACAAACATGATTTCACCGTTTCTCTGGACTGAGAGCCCTGGAGCCGTTTAGTGGGGTAGTTCTGACTCAGGCTCTCTCATGATGCTGCAATCAAGCTGTTTGCCAGGGCTACAGTCATCTCCAGGCATGACTGCAGAAGGAGCCACTCCAAGATGGTCACATGGCTGCTGGCAGACCCCAGAAGACCTGCTTCCAGGCTTACTCACATGGCTGGTGGCAGGTGTCAGTTTCTCACCACGTGGGCCTCTCCATATGGTGCCTGAGTGTCCTCACAACATGGCAGGTGGCTTCCATCTTTGGCAGCTGGTTTCCTCCAGAGTGAGTGATGAGAGGGAGAAAAAGAGAAAGAGAGGAAGGGGGGTGAGGAGAGAGAGAGAGAGAGAGAGAGAGAGAGAGAGAGAGAGAGAGAGAGAGACTGAACCTACACATGGAAATTCCAGTCAATCTTAGAATTGACATTCCATCACTTCTCAATTCAATTCACTAGAAGCAAGTCACTAAGTCACTAAGAAATTAAGTTACATTTCTTAAAAAAAGCTATCAAAGAGTTTGTGGGCTGTCTCATGCGTCCGTGTGAAGAGACCACCAAACAGGCTTTGTATGAGCAACAAGGCTGTTTATTTCACCTGGGTGCAGGCGGGCTGAGTCCGAAAAAGGAGTCAGCAAAGGGTGATGGGATTATTATTAGTTCTTACAGGTTTTGGGATAGACGGTGGAGTTGGGAGCAATGTTTTGGGGGCAGGGGATGGATCTCACAAAGTACATTCTCAAGGGTGGGGAGAATTACAAAGAACCTTCTCAAGGGTGGGGGAGATCACAAAGTACATTGATCAGTTAGGGTGGGGCAGAAACAAATCACAATGGTGGAATGTCAGCAGTTGAGGCTATTTTCGTTTCTTTTGTGAATCTTCAGTTGCTTCAGGCCATCTGGATGTATACGTGCAGGTCACAGGGGATATGATGGCTTAGCTTGGGCTCAGAGGCCTGATATTCCTGTCTTCTTATATTAATAAGAAAAGCAAAACAAAATAATGAAGTGTTGGAGCGGTGATAAATTTTGGGGGTGATATGGAGAGATAATGGGTGATGTTTCTCAGGGCTGCTTTGAGCGGGATTAGGGGCAGCGTGGGAACCTAGAGTGGGAGAGATTAAACTGAAGAAAGATTTTGGGGTAAGGGGTGATACTGTGGGGTTGTTAGAAGGAGCATTTGTTGTATAGAATGATTGATGATGGCCTGGATGCAGTTTTGTGTGAATTGAGAAACGAAACGGAAGACACAAGGTCTGAATAAAAGAAGGAGAAAAATAGATATTAAAGGACTAAGAATTGGGAGTACCCAGGACATCCAATTAGAGAGTGTCCAGGGGGGTTCAGCGTAATTATTTGCTTGGTTGGCAAGTTTTTAGGCTCTATCTTTCAGTTTTTTTAAAAAAATGTTGTCATATACCAGGCCAGATTGATTTAGGGAAAAACAGCACTCTTCATTTAAAAATATACAGAGTCCTCAGAGGGCTGTTTCTGGGACTGCCCAGCACTGCTTGATCTGGAAGTAGGTATTCTCCCCAATTTTGTGGAGACATATGTATTCCTTTTCCGTTTCCCTTTGCTCACCTTTAGCATTTGCTAAGTTAAACATTGTACTCTTTTACTACATTGATTATTAAACTTTTCTTAAAAGTTTTCTTAAAAGAAAAGTTTAAAATCAATGTAGTAAAAGTACAATGTTTAACTTAGCAAATATATATATATTTGCTATATAAATATATATATATTTGATATATATATATATACACACACACACACACAGAGTCCCCCCACTTTTTTTTTAGCAGTGAGTAAGTCGAGGCCTCAGCGATTTTGGAGGAAAGTAAAGTGCGTGGGCGTGTCTTTAAAACCATCACATAGTATCTTTAAAAGGGTTGGGATTATAGGATATATTTGGTTATTTAAAAGTCTTTTTGCTTTTGACATAATGGAAAAAATTAGTAGCTGCATAATATACCATAAAGTGGATTTTTCATAATTTTCATACCTACATACCTACCTAGGTTGTTTTCTAATGTCTGTTAGCACAAGTGATGCTGTATAGATGTTTTTGCTGTAGTTCTTTATATTTCATTGGGATACATTTCTACAAGTGTGAAAACAGAGTCAAGTATATGGATATCTTCTAAAACTTTTTTATACCTATGGCTATATTCCTTTTTTAAAGGGGTGGGCCAGTTTACTGTCATACCTATCAGATAACAGATTCACTGAAGTAGCTAAAAATCATGTTTCAAGTCTCAATGATGGTGCAGCAGTGATATAAACAGTATGCGATGACTGCTTTCCACCAAAACGGTGCCAGCTGCTTCTTCAATGTCCCAGGTATCATGGGACCTGGTTGACACAGAGCCCTTTCTCCATAGGCTTGGCTAAAGAAAATCACAACAATAGTATAAATAATATTGTGTTACATAGCATGTATAGATTGAAAATTTATTCTGTATTTCAGTGGAACATTTTTAGAACACTATTGCTGAGGTAGTCAAACTGTTCTAGGAGTTATTAAGAAATTATTTTAGGCAGGTAGAGAGGAAAAGGGATCCTCGGAAAGTTTTCCTCTGTTTTAAAGCAGCTCCAGAAACGTTTCTTGTCTAGTGGGAAAACCTAGCTCTTAGAACTGGGCAGGCAACCTTTGATATGCAAACGCAAGCCATTAGAAACTGCGTCCACCCAAACATGACGATTCCTACCGTTGTCTTCTTGCCCTTGCCCCAATATGTGCCTGGCCACATGGCCGCCTCCACATATCCCCACGTGTGTAGAATATTATGGAGCCCTGCATTTGCATATTAAAAGACTGGGGTGGGAGGGCCAGTTTTTTTTTCACGGGCTACGCGAATGACCTGCCTGGTCAAACCAATCCGGTGAGCCCTATGCAAATCAGGCACCACCTCCTCCAGCCTCCTCATAAAATTGGCTGGTATCCACGGCACATGGGATCTACTCTTTCGGTTTTGGACCCCCCCTCCCTCTGCCTCTGTACAGGGGAGCTTCTTTCTTTCTTCTCCCTTCTTTCTTGCCTGTTAAACTCTCCGCTCCTTAAATTCACTTCACGTGTGTGTCATCCTATCTAATTTGGCATGAGACAAGAGCCCTGGTGCTCCTCCACTCATAGGGGCCGTATCAAAACTACAACTATTATCTTTTCAAATATTTCCTTCCCAAACAAGTACCATATGTTTAATGTGTGATATTATTATGGTAGTAATATTATGAAAGTGATTTGTAGTATTGCTTAGTTCTTAAAAATAATTGTATTATAATTAAACTATCATTACGGCTTAATTTCTCTTCGTTAATGTAACAATTTTATTAAAATGTAATTCACATACTATACAATTCATCAAAGTGTACAATTCCATAGTTTTAATATATTCATAGAATTGTGAGCACACATTTTAGAGCATTTTCAGCACCCTAAAAAGAAGCCCTGTACCCATTTGCAATGTGACTTCATTTATTCTAAAAAGAAATAATCACAAACACCTCCTTTTCATGGATGCCTAGGACTTTTTCTATCTATCTATATCTATATCTATATCTATATCTATATCTATATCTATTTTTTGAGACAGAATCTTGCTCTTGTCGCCCAGGCTGGAGTGCAATAGCGCGATCTCGGCTCACTGCAACCCCTGCCTCCCGGGTTCAGGCGATGCTCCTGCCTCAGCCTTTTGAGTAGCTGGGATTACAGGCATGTGCCACCATGCCTGGCTAATTTTTTTTTTTTTTTTGTATTTTTAGTAGAGACGGGTTTCACCATGTTGGCCAGGCTGATGTCGAACTCCTGATCTCAGGTGATCCTCCCGCCGAGGCCTCCCAAAGTGCTGGGATTACAGGCGTGAGCCACCGCGCCTGGCCCTATATCTTTTTTTGTGATCTGATTTCAGATGTGGAGAAAGAGAGTGCTTTGCCCAATACTCTCAAAAATTCGTCATTGGACACAGGAATGAAAGCCAGCCCTCTGTGGCCTTAAACAGAGCTATGGAATATTAGACCTCATTTAGAGGACAGTTTATTTCCCTCAGACTGGGGAGCTGAGAGATTTTTTAAAAAGCTCTGTAAAGGTAAATATTTCAAATATACGGAGCATATTCTGATGCTCTTGATCAGAAGCATCTTGATGAAATCTTTATAGGAGGTTAGGCTGAAAAAAAGAGCTGTGAGTAATCAGCAATGTGCCAGGCATCTCTTTACTGACCATAAGTTCAACATATTTTTCATATTGTCTTCCTTTTAAAAAGACAATTCTGGTGACTTCGCTTTTTTGTTTTTTTTTTTTTTTTTTTGACACGGAGTCTCTCTCTGTCGCCCGACTGGAGTGCAGTGGCCTGATCTCGGCTCACTGGAAGCTCCGCCTCCGGGTTCACGCCATTCTCCTGCCTCAGCCTCCCGAGTAGCTGGGACTACAGGCACCCACCACCACGCCCGGCTAATTTTTTTGGATTTTTAGTAGAGACAGGGTTTCACCGTGTTAGCCAGGATGGTCTCGATCTCCTGACCTCGTGATCTGCCCGCCTCGGCCTCCCAGAGTGCTGGGATTCCAGGCGTGAGCCACTGCGCCCGGCCGACTTCACTTTTAGGTCAATGAAATCACTGTCTACTGGTGTCAATAACAAAATGATAAAAAAAAAAAAAAAAGAAAAAAAAGGGAAGCGTTTTGCACACAAACAGAATAGAATTTCAGCTTGTGATGCAGGGCCTCTGTGAATTAATTCACTTCCTCTAGAAGCAGAGGACACCAATTTCCTCCCCCGGAGGTCAGAAGCGGAAGGGGTAGGGTTACCATGGAGTCTAGATTCTAAGAGACTTTTGAAATGCAATTGCCCTGCCGGTTTTGTTTAGCTACAAGGTTACTCTCAGACATAGGCAATAATGAGAAAGTAATAGCTGGGATGGTCTTGGGTTGACCCACGCAGATAAGGATCAACTTTTTTTTCTTTAATAGGGGGCCATGTGACCGTGATGACTGCTGTTTCTTTCAGATACTTTTGGTGTTGACTGGTCACCCGAATGAGACAAGGATTCTTAGGTCAATCCATTTTCCTGCATCAGGAGACACACGTCAAAACTTAGCATCAAAATTGCACCCCTTTCCATGACTCTGTCCCTCTGTAAATGGGGAAGAGAGCTTCCCTTTTGGCCCTTGGGCAGAAGGCTGCTTATTTGTATTCAGTGATTGTGTTAGCGGAAAGGGGTCCCCATAGAGACTCCCAAGAGAGGGTTCTTGGATCTCACCAAGAAGGAATTTGAGGCAAATCCATAAAGTGAAAGCAAGTTTATTAAGAAAGTAAAGGAACAGGCCGGGCACGGTGACTCACGCCTGTAATCCCAGCACTTTGGAAGGCCGAGGTGGGCAGACCACAAGGTCAGGAGATCGAGACCATCCTGGCTAACACGGTGAAACCCCGTCTCTACTAAAAATACAAAACAAAAAATTAGCCGGGCGTGGTGGTGGGCGCCTGTAGTCCCAGCTACTCGGGAGGCTGAGGCAGGAGAATGGCGTTAACCCGGGAGGTGGAGCTTCCAGTGAGCCGAGATCGTGCCACTGCACTCCAGCCTGGACGACAGAGCGAGACTCCCTGTCAAAAAAAAAAAAAAAAAAAAAAAAGTAAAGGAATATGGGATGGCCACTTCATAGGCAGAGCAGCCCCAAGGGCTGCTGGACTAAGAATACTTCTCGTAATTTCTTGATTATATGCTAAACAAGGGTTGGATTATTCATGAGTTTTCTGGGAAAGGGGTGGGCAAGTCCTGGAACTGAGGGTTCTCCCCCCTTTTAGACCCTATAGGGTGACTTCCTGAGGTTGTCTTGGCATTTGTAAAGTATGGTGGCACTGGTGGGAATGTCTTAACATGCTAATGCATTATAATTATTGTATAATGAGCAGTGAGGATGACCAGAGGTCACTTTTGTTGCCATCTTTGTTTTGATGGGTTTTGGCTGGCTTCTTTACTGCAACCTGTGTTTTCAGCAAGGTCTTTGTGACCTGTATCTTGTGCTGACCTCCTATCCTATCCTGTGACTTAGAATGCCTAACCTCCTGGGAATGCAGCCCAGCAGGTCTCAGCCTCATTGTACCCAGCACCTGTTCAAGATGGAGTCGCTCTGGTTTGAACACCTCTGACAATCAAATTGTCTGCTGGTGATATAAGACTTCCTGATTTTGCAGCAGTAAATAATTCTAATAAAAGGACTCCAGTAGAGCCTGAAGCTATAGATATTTCCATAAGGCAAGCCAACCTGGAGAGTCCCTTTGAGGTGAATTCTGGATCCCCACACACATCTTGTAGAAGACTCAGATATCACCTGCCTATAATTCTTTGTTCAGTAGGTTGTATGAACTGGTACAGATAAAATGAAAACCTAGCTCCCTCAAACTGGTTCTTCACCTGAACCTGAACCCACACTGAAACACTTGAAAGTTCTGGTAAAGGCACCTTTTTCAGTCTTAAAACAGAAAGGCAGATTTTTGAAAGCCAGGCAGTTTTAAAATAAATTCTCCTGGAGAAACAGCTGTTATCAAAGTAAATTGTCTCTGTTCAACGCATTTACTGGTTTATATGGCAATCCAGAAGTTTACCACCTCTCTAAAAGGTCAGGTCTCTTTTTCTTTTTAAAATTAGACTTGTGTTCATGGTTATTGGTCAAACATATGGTAAATACCTGAATCTCTGCAAAGAGATGTTCAAATTTCAAAGTGTTTTTACGATGGTCATGTGCAAGAACACCCTGCATTTAGTTGCACGCTTATATTCCTTTGTTCAAGCTCTCATTTCAGTTTTAAAAATAAATGAAACAAATACATTAGCATTTAACATTTTCTTAATAATTGACATTTTTCAATTTTATGAAGTTTGTACCTTCTATTTTCAGATTTGTTTTGATCAGGAGAAAGCCCTTTTATCAAAAGAAGGCATCTTGATAATAATACCAACTCTGCTCAATTCAAAATGCCATTTTGAAGAGTAAAGGACAGCGTATGTGAAAAGTGCTAGGCCACAGTCAATGTTTTCTTCTGTTACTGCTCTTTATATTGTTAAAGAATTCACTGTTAAATGTGTTCTCCTGCTGCCATGCCTTTCAGGAAACCTGAATATTTTGGAAGAATAGCCATTTTTGATGTCCTATGAATGGTCTTTGAAGGTTCAGCAAGGATATTTGACTAGTGGGTTTGGTCTTACTTTTTATCTCTTACTTGATATTGTAATAGATATGAAAGGCACACGTTCTCCAGTGTGTGCTGATGTTGGTTGTGGGAGAGATTTGAGAGCACTGTAATTTCCTTGGCATTTCCCCCATGAAGCTCTGATAGTCCCAAAACCTGCGCTCGTGGCCGCCTGCTGAACGGCTGATAACTGATGAAGTAGACCTGAGAAATATTTGGCTCTGCAGGACTTCTGCAAGAGAAGGTATCCAAAGGCACTAGTATTAGTGTGCAGCACCCATTTGACCTCGGGTCAGCCCTCCTGGTCCTTAGTCCCATGAGCCAGGCCCCACATGCTGGCCGGCTGGCAAAGTCCGGCTTTGCATCCAGTTATTGTTTGCTCAGCTCGTACTTCCTGTTAACACATTCAGTTATGTTCCTCCATCCAACCTTCTAGAGGAGGGAATAGCATGTTGGTCAGAAAGTAGATTAGAAAATGCCTACATGTAGAGTTGCTTGATGCATTGCAAGCTTCTCCGTCCCCTTGGGTGGACCCCTAGTGTGCCCACTGGGATGCTGAGGGCAACTTGCATCCAGCTTTATTCCTCAAACTGGGACTTTCAGATCCTACTGATGGGAGTATAAGCGTGTACTGCAGCTTTGTAAAACTGCTTGGTGCTACCTATTCAAACTACATACATGCCTACCTTTAACAGGGTAATTCTACTTCTACCATTTGCTGGTGTCCTTCTCTGACCACTGAGCTTGTCCTTTGTCACACAGCCTGGATGTGATATGCCGGCCATTCTCCAGTCTTCGTGTGAACCGCTGGGAGCAGGTCTGCTTGCTCGCTGGCTTCATCGGCTGCATGGTGCAATTTGTGCCTGATTTACTGACCCTCCATTAGGAAAGCACTCCTCTTTGGTTCAGTTTACCTAATGATAATCAAACCCTATGGTTTATTTTATGTTCACAGCCCTGAATTTGGGTCTGATATTTATTCTTAATATTATTTAATATTTAATATATGATAATTAATATTTCTGATATTTATCAAAAATTGGGTCTGATAAAGTAGGAGGAACAAATGTCATTGAGCCATCAGATATGAAAAAGTGCAGCAGACAGGATTGGGCTCCTTCAATTAGGCATTTGGGGATATGGTTATTTATGTATGTATATATTTATTTATTTATAGTTTGAGGGTTGGAGCTGAAGGAGTTGTTGATCTCTACAATGAGCTAATTTTTAGCATTACAAGGAGTTTTCTTTTTCAACAGTGTCTTTATGTGATCTCTCTAAGTCTTAGTATGTGTGCTTCAAATTATACAGAAAGATTGTGATAAGCTGAATTGCATCCCTCCTTCCCCAAATATGTTGGCATTCCAATCTCCAGTACGTCAGAATGAAACCTTCTTTGGAGATAGGTGCTTTACAGAGGTAATCAAGTTAAGATGAGGGCATTTGGGTGGGCCCTAATCCAGTATGACTGGTGTCCTTATAAAAAGGGGAAATTTGGACTCACAGACAGACACACACAGAGGAAGACGGTGTGAAGAGACACAGGGAAAAGGTGGCCATCTACAAGCCAAGGAGAGAAGTCTGCAATAGACCCGTCACTGATAGCCCTCAGAAGGAACCAACCCTGCTGGCACCTTGATTTTGGATTCTAGCCTCTGGAACTGTGAGAGAATACGTTTTTGTTGTTTAAGTCACCCATTTTGTGATACTTTGTTACAGCAGCCCTAGGCAACTGATGCGGACTTGTGAAGGATTTTCGATTACAGGACCTAAGAGAAGGTTTATGAGTATTGGAAATTGTGATATAAATTAAGGTCTTTAGAAAGAAAGAGGTGAATAGGTAGAAAAGGTTTGAAAACACTGACTGTTTTTTAAGTAAGAGATATGATCTTGGCTGGGTGTGGTGGTTCATGCCTGTAATCTCAGCACTTTGGGAGGCCAAGGGAGGCGGATCTCTTGAGATCAGGAGTTCAAGACCAGCCTGGCCAACATGGTGAAACTCCGTCTCTTTGGTTCAATTTACCTAATGATAATCAAACCCTATGGTTTGAAAATATAAAAAGTTAGCCAGGTGTGGAGGCGCACACCTGTAACCCCAGCTACTGGGGAGGCTGGGGCAGGAGAATCACTTGAACCTGGGAGGCAGAGGTTGCAGTGAGCCGGAGGTGGCAGTGAGCCAAGGTGGTTCTACTGCACTCCAGCATGGGTGACAGAGCAAGACGCCATCTCAAAAAAAAAAAAAAAAAAAAAAAAAAAGGAAAGAGATATGGTGTCTAAGGAAGATCAGTGAGTGGAAACCAGCCCCAGGAAAGCTACTCTCTTGAATAAAGAAAATGACTAAGGTAATAGTAATCTTTTTTCCACCTGGTTGCCTGGGCTGGGCATTTTGTCAATTGCTCCATCACTACCAGTGGGTTTGCTGGGCGTGGGGCCATGGAAGCAAGTTTTTTCTTTCTTTCCTACTGGTCATGGGAGTTTAGTCATTTTCACAGTCAATTGGAAAATAACAGTTGTAAAGGCATTTTGAAGAACACACGCTGGGGCGTTGGGCCACCTTTTCTTGGCTTGAAATTGAGGCAGAGGGGTCAGAATTAACAAAGAAAATCATGCAGCCTGGCTTTTATTCTTCAGCAAACATTTCCTGAGTGCCTGCTCTGTTCCAGGTGCTGGCTGGGTACTGGAGCCAATGCATGGTTGACTAAAGAGCATACAGTCCCTGCCCACATGGTACTTAGATCCATTGTTTAAGAAGCAAGCTTAGACCTGAGCCGTGTAGGAGAATAGCTCACATTCACAGAGGTGGGAAAGGACAATGTTTTAGTAATTTGAATGGCATTAGGCTGAGGAACAGACAGCAAAAGCAAGGCACAGGGGCGTGTTGGGGGGAATGGGGAGACAAAGGCCCCATCCCAAGTCTTTGAATGCTCTTCTGAATCCACACACTGCCACTGTTAGCCCCCCTGCAGTTAGGAACTTGCCGGATCTCCCATCAAAGGTGAATTCCGCAGGAAAGAGATGGGCTTTGAATAATAATGCCTGTGTTACTTTTGTTAATTCTTCCCTGAGCGTAAGTCCCAAAGGCTGGAGAAAAAGCAAATCTTTTTTCAGTGCATTTCATTTGAAAAGTAAATTTCATCCATTTGTTTCTAGATAGCTCTTGCCTCCGGCCTTGAACAAAATTAATTTTGGAAAATGAATTCCACTTGGCAACTATATATCTTGAAACAAGGGCCAGCCTTTAAAAATGTGTTGCAATGTGTACACTTGGAGGCATGAGAAGTAGATACTTGTAAGATCCGTGCAATCCTGGTTCAGTATTAGCTCCTTCTCTAAGGGCACCCATAGGGCCCGGTTCTCGGTGAGGGGCCTCCCTCTGCAGGTGGAGTATAAGCATGCAATTCCTGCTCCCAAGGAGGGGGCTTCTGCCATCTTGGGAGCTGTTGGGGGAAACTTTGGAGACCACCAGGAACCCCTAAAGCCCTTGAGAACTTTAAGAAGACATGATGCTGGGGTGGAGGGTTGTGGGGGTGAATGGGATCCACCCTCCTCTACAGGTCCTTGATTTTCCTTGGGCTGCTGTACTAAGGGTCTACTTTCTTCTCTCTTTCACCACACCCTACCCCCTTCCCCCCATACATTAATGCTTTCCAGTGACATGCTATGGCAAACCTAAAGACCTGCTTGATTTAGTCCTTTAAGCTAAAGAAATTCAGCCTTCCTAACCATAACTTTCTGTTTGGGAGTTAGAGAATCACAGAATATCACATTGCATGGAGCCTCAGACTGATGGAGAACTATTTTTCAGTATTAGAGCAGCTTTTCATTACCCATTCTATATATTAGAATGATGCGGGAAGGTGAAGAAAATCAGGGAACTAGTAAAACTGAGAAAGGAAAACAAGTTGATTTTTCATTAATTCGACAGTTGCGGAGACTCTATATGTAGGTCTGGCCCTGGACTAAGCACAGGCGTAAATAAGACTATTCCTGTCCTCAAGACCCTACCCATTTACCAGGGGAGAGAAACATCTAAGCAATTATAATACAGTGCCGCCCAGTATTGTCATGTTTGCCCAAGATGCAGGGGAACGTCCGGGGGAAGGGCAACAATAAACAGGGAAGAATTTGGAAAGGAGTTGGTGGTGGAGCTCAGTGGTATAAACCAGTAGGTGTTGGAAGCTGAGAGAGGAGTTTTAGGCAGGGCAGAGCAGAGACAATGTTTGAAGACAGGGAGAGCACAATACGTCCGGCAAAGTGCAATAGGAAGAGAGTATGTCTGGCGTGGAGGGTGTTACGGAGGTAGGGCAGGAGCAAGACAAAAATGTGGGTAGAGACAGACCAGGATAAGTCTTCTGGGAGCCTGGAGTTCTCTTTCAAGGGATGAGCAGCAGTCGGGGACCCATGGATTCAGGTTGGTATTTTAGAAAGAGCCTGCTGGTACCAGGGTGGAGGTGGATTGGAGGGTAGTGAGCCTGGAGGCGGGAATAAAGTGGAAAAGTCCAGTCTGGTCCCAGCATCCCAGGTGTGAGCCACGTGGCCTTCGGTAGGTCTGTTGCTATGACGTCAGGGGCATGCTGTAATCTGAGAGCACTTGATGGAATGCATTCTCTTACTTAAAGACTGGCTGGACCAATTATTTATTAACCATACAGGTGGCTTTTCTGTATACCTTGACTCTGACACTCACTCTTCCCAGCTCTCAAGTCCAGAGAAAACAAACTAGTTATTGAGACTGTTCCTGGCACTAGTGATATAGTTGTGAATGAAATGGACAAAAGTCCCTTCCCTTGAGGAGCTTCCATTCTACCGGCGAGACAGAACATAAACAATCGTACACATTAAATGACATTAAATGATAGGCAGCAATGAAGGCTCTGGTGAAAAATAAACATCGGGAAAGGGGCTTGCAATTTACAATAGGGAGCCAGTAAAGCCGCAATGAGGTGCTATTTTAACAAATTTGACCCCGGAGGGACCTTCACTTCAAGGGCTAAGTTGTTTAAAGGGAGGGCAAGTGTGGTCCAATTGTGCTTGCAGAGGATCTCTGGACCTTAATGGGGCCACGAGCTATGCTTGCTGTCCCTGGAGGGGGCAGCCAGGCTGACCACAGAAAATCTGTGATGGAAGGAGGGTCTAATAAACACTCTCTGTTTCTCAGCTTGGAGCTGATCTTAAATATTCAAAGCAACTCACCACTCCCTTCTCCTGTTGGCCCCCAGTTTATTTGCTGAAAAGAAAAAAAAGTTCAGCTCAGCTGTAGCATCTGTTTTCTAGTGAAGTCCTTGCTTCTTACTCAATTTTCCAGCTGGTTTGACTTATCAGTACACAAGCAGGTCACCTGACTGGCTCAGGGCCACACAGTGAGCAAAAGATTCCACCAAAACAGGAACCCAACCTTATTTTTATTATTATTTTTTTATATTGCACAGTTTCTGGGAGTTCCACAGTTGTGGCAGATGGGATGCTAATCACATTCACGGAAAATGTATGCAAGGAACTTCAGTGCAGAACTCTGCATCTGGCTCGAGGACTCTGTATGACTCGACTTCCCTAGTGGAAGGGGGAAAGCAGAGAAACACCCTCCTCCATCCATTAAAAGGCCATTTTGCACATGACTTGAAGACTCCCCAGTTGGAGGCCCTCGTTCCAGTGCAGCTGCATTTTGGGTTGCATCCTCTTCAAAGCCCACACCCCAAGGTGTGGCCTTGCCCAGTTAATTTATTTTTTCTTTCCCCACTTCCCTTCTTCTCATCCCTGTTCCTCCTGCCGCCGGGCAATTTCAAGTTCATAAGCAAGCTGCTACAGTGTTAGGGACTTTCTGGGTAGAAATGGCATGCGGTTGCTGGTGAAATCTTACCAGTATTTGCGGTGAGGTTGAGATTGACACAGGTTTAGAAAATATAAAAATCACCTATGGGCCCTCTCATTTGTGATTCTCCTTTTTGTTTGCAGTAACCTTTGGGTTAAGTCTTTCAAGCTAATCCATTCAGCTTCAGTCCTTTAACCCTTTGATGTTTGTTATCTATTTAAGCTACAAGAACCTTATCTTCAAATGAAGATTAATGTGAAAACAAACTGGTTGTGGCTTTCACAGAAGTTCCATTGGATCCAAAGCCCCTGCCCAACAGGCTTCTCCTGTCCCCTCTCCACACATCCCCTTTGTGACTCAGGGCCTGTGGAACCTTAGGCAAAGGTCTTTAACTCTCTGAGCCTCAGTGTTCTCATCTGTCATTTGGGCACAATTATATGCACCTCTTGGGGTGTTGGTGGGGATGAATGAAATGGTACATACCCAGTGACTTGCACACTGAATGGTCAATTAGTCTTTTCTTCTTGACTCATTCTGAGGTGGGTTCTAAGTGGCCATCTTGATTTTTTGTCAATACTACTGCTTAAGTGAATCCCTGGAGTCATAGTCTGAAACCCTAAGTATACCCTTCCCAATTCCCTACTTTACCAGACTAAGCCCTTCACTCAGGTAGTTCATTTCTTATTTTTATTATTTTCCCTGTCTTTCTAGGTACCCCCAGGGTTTCCTTCCTGGCTCCCTTCTCTAACCTCATTCAGTCACCAATGTAAAGTTTTCCTTTTTATTTTGAGAATGTCAAACATGTAAAGGTAGAATAGTCCAGAGTGAATATTACAGTGGACACTATATATCCATCAACTGGAATTAACAACTATTGACAGTATTAACATTCATTATCGTATATTCTTCATCTTTTTTTGCTAAAATATTTTAGAGCAAATCTAAACAATTATGAATTTCATTGATAGTTTTTCATGTACATATATATCACTAAAAAATAAGAACATCTTAAATATTCACAGTAACTTAATCATACTGTACAAAATAAAAACCCAAGAATTTATTAATGTCATCTACCACCCAGTCCATATTCAATGTCTTTTCATACATGGTTTGTTAGAATCAGAATCCGAATAAAGCCCATACGTTAGCTTTGGTTCTTTCAATCGCCAATTCCGCCCTTCCCCAGTTTATTCTGCCATGACAAGTCGTGATCACTGGGTTTATACTCTCCTCTTTTTTTTTTTTTTTAATTTTACTTTAAGTTTTAGGGTACATGTGCACAACGTGCAGGTTAGTTACATATGTATACATGCGCCATGTTGGTGTGCTGCACCCATTGACTCGTCATTTAACATTAGGTATTGGGAGGAGTCAAAAGGCAAGGTCAAAGGTTAAAGATCGTCTCTGTCTTGACAGGTATTTTGATGGCTCTCCATTGCGTATTTGTAAGTGTCTAAACCCTTCCATTTACACTTTAACACATCAACTTTTCATTCTTTTACAGAAGAGACACTTTGTTGCAGGGACTTTCTGAGGACCATGATGAGAAGAACTAAGATGGTGTATGTGCAATGCTTAACCCTACCCAGTACACAGAACATACTCAAAAAGTTTATGGATTCTTTTTTTTTTTTTTGAGACGGAGTCTCTCTCTGTCCCCCAGGCTGGAGTGCAGTGGCGCCATCTCGGCGCACTGCAAGCTCCGCGTCCTGGGTTCACGCCATTCTCCTGCCTCAGCCTCCCGAGTAGCTGGGACTACAGGCGCCCACCACCACGCCCGGCTAATTTTTTGTATTTTTAGTAGAGAGGGGGTTTCACCGTGTTAGCCAGGATGGTCTCGATCTCCTGACCTAGTGATCCACCGGCCTCAGCCTCCCAAAGTGCTGGGATTACAGGCATGAGCCACCACACCCGGCCAAGTTTATGGATTCTTAATTGGTAGTGATCATTATGATCATTGCATCTTAGAAAGCGGGTCTTTGGGTCAGCGGACTTACACTGGAAATCTGCATTTTCTCCTCGTCATCAAGCATGTTACTGAAGGAGCATCTCTGAGTCTCCCTTTCATCAGTGATGAAGTGAGAGTGATATGATCTCTTAGCACTTTGAGAAAGAGAGATGCTGTGGATAAAACACATATAGCATTACTGGACACAAAATAGGCCTTCAACAAATGGTAGTATATATACCACATACGTAAAATACATATCATCCATGACCACCCGTCTTATTTCTCTCTCTCTGTCTGTCCCTCCCTCCCTAGCTTTATCTTCCCTGTCTTTCAATTCCTGCTGCATGTGGATAGGACTCTAAATACATTTCAGTGTATACATGGTATAATGGAAAGAATCTTTGTTGAGTATTCTAGGTCTGAACTCATCTTTTAGTAGTAATCTACCCTCAGGCAATTCATGCTACTTGCTTGAGCGCAGTTTATTCACTTGTGAAACAGGAATAATTGTGTCTGTTCTGAGACCCTTACAAGGTGAGTGTGATGCTCACGTAGGTGCCACAGGGTGAGAGGGCTTTGAGACGGTGAAAGCGCCAACTGACAGGCTAAGTCCGAAGTACACTGAGAGGGCTTTAAAGAAACGAATACAAATTCCAATGACATGAAGTAATTCATAAGCATTGTCTTTTAAAAAAAATCATGTTCATCTTCTCTGGTTTACTTGGTTTTCTTTGCCATTGAATTATTCCACCAGGATTTGCTCTCTTTTGAGGATCAAGAGCCACAGAATGCTAAAGGGAGGCAGAGTCTCGGAGGTCCCCTGTGAAGTGGGAAATCACCTGGATGCAGTGGGGCCCTTCAAGTGCATCACCAAAAAAAACCATCCCAGAAGGTAGGGAACAGAAAGCCTCAAATACCAAATTAAGATGTTCTCATCAGACAGCTTAATAAACTAGTTTAAAACACACAGAAGTAAGGGGAAAGAGATGAAGACTAACACACCTGGGGTAGGGTACAGGCAGGGTTGAAAGGGCCAGACTCCAGTCTTGTATTACAGGGGTCCCCAACCCCCCAGCCATAGACTGGTACTGGTACCAGTCCGTGGCCTGTTTGGAACTGGGCCACACAGCAGGAGGTGAGTGGTGGGCGGACGAGCAAGCAAAGCTTCATCTGTATTTACAGCCAGTCCCCAGAGCTCACATGACCCCTGAGCTCCACCTCCTGTCAGATCAATGGTGGCATTAGGTTCTCATAGGAGCAGGAACCTATGATAATTGTGAACTGCACGTGTGAGGGATCTAGGCTGTGTGCTCCTTATGAGAATCTAATGCCTGATGATCTTCACCCTCTCCCATCACCCTTGGATTGGACTGTCTAGTTGCAAGAACACAAGCTCAGGGCTCCCACTGATTCTATATTATGGTGAGTTGTATAATTATTTCATTATATATTACAATACAATAATAATAGAAATAAAATGCACAATAAATGTAATGCGCTTGGATCATCCTGAAACTATCACCCTGCCACCCCAGTCCTTGGAAAAATTGTCAAATTGTCTTCCACGAAACCAGTCCGTGCTGCCAAAAAGGTTGAGGACCACTGCTGTGTTAGACGATATGTATAGCCCCCCACCCCCTTTCTCTGTGTCTGTCTCTCACTCTCACACTCTGACACTGGGGTTATGAAGAGGACAAGATTTAATAACAAGGGGGCCAACAGATGGAAGGTACCTGAGGCAGACACACGCATTTGTTTTTGTGAGCCATGGAGACAGGTGTGCTTGGTCCCAGCCGCAGCTTGCCAGTGAGCCGGCTGGCTTTTATCTGTGTTTCAGGCCAATGATCCTCAACCTTTTTGGCACCAGGGACCAGTTTCATGGAAGACAATTTTTCCATGAATCAAGGGTGGGGTAGGATTCAGTGCATTACATTTATTGTATACTTTATTTCTATTATTACATTTTAATATATAATGAAATAATTATACAACTCCTCATAATGTAGAATCAATGCCCTGAACTTGTTTTCCTGCAAATAGATAGTTCCTCTGGAGGTGATGGGAGACAGTGACAAATCATCAGGCATTAGATTCTCATAAGGCACACGCAACCTAGATTCCTCGCGTGCGCAGTTCACAGGAGGATTTGTGCTCCTATGAGAATCTAATGCTGCGGCTGATCTAACAGGAGACGGGGCTCAGGGGGTTAATGCTTGCTTGCTCACTGCTCACCTTCTGCTGTGGAGCCCAGTTCCTAACAGGCAGGAGCCCAGGAGTTGAGGACCCCTGTTTTAGCCAGAGGATAGGCAGAACCAAAATGGGTGTTCCCCATGAGTGGGCAATTTAAGTCCCAGTGAATTTTGAGTGCCTCAAGTATATTTAGTGTAACTTTTGATCCTTCCATCTTTCCCATCTTCCACCTGCACCCATGTGCTCAGCCTACCTCATCTTTGTGTAACTCACCTCACTCTACTTCATTTCTTCTATGATCATTGGCCTGTTTCTGTTATTTTCTAGAGATGCATCGAACATCTTTAAACAATAGAGCCAACATCTATCACAGCACATATTCCAGCACTCTCATGTGAAACAAGTGTGAACTGAGGACCTGAGTGCAGTGTGAGAGAAGCAAGCCTGGGACATAGCCCTTCTTACTCCTAGTTCAACACAATCCCCATGATCTTTTAACTTTCTTCCTGTTCTCAGGGTGAGATAAAGAGGAATAGAGACCTGGCTAAGCCATCTGAAACAAACAGACAAGCAACTCAGCACTACAATGGGACTTTTTGGATATATTTGGAGGCAAAGGAATATCAGTTCTTGTCAACCTTCATTTTGCAGACTGTGTGATGTAGCAGAAAAAAGCCAGAGAGATGTGGGTGGAAACCCCAGCCTTTCTATTTGGCGAAATAACTTGACCCTGGGAGAGTTCCTCCTTTTTTAGCCTACAAAATTAGTAGGAGAATAGAGTTATTATGAAAATTATACGAGAAAGAGTATGCAAAGTGCTAATCATTGAGACTGGCTTAAAGCTAGGACTCAAATAAATATGAGTTCTGCTATTTTTCCACATACCTCTTCTCACTTCTTCATTGTAAGCTTCAATTTGTCCCCAAGCCAATGGCATTCACTGTTCCCATTAGTCTCCTGCTAAAATTTTGACTCAAGGTGGTGACAGGGAGTGATGCTGTGTTTGGCCGTCCCACCTGACAATGAGAGGGACTGAATTATGGCGGGAACTCTTCGGCCAAGGGTTGCTTTCTGCTAGGTCTCTTCGGGGGATGCTTCATTCTAGAGGCCAAGAGCGCTTCAAAGAAGGACCAATAAATTGTGCTGGGGGCTGACAACCACACTGCCAAGGGCAGAGTTGCACATGGCAGGCCTTCTTCTTCCTTTAGAAGAACTCTCAACCCCTGGGGTAGAGTTTCCTGTAAGTGTGGGTGTTAAAATGGTTTGTTTTGGTGTTGTTTTTGATACATGCAACTCCTTCCAGAGGCTAAGACATGAAAAGTCCTGCCAGGAAATCATCACTGAGGAATAAATAATATCATAACCCTCTCCTGAAGCCCAACAGTTATTCTCCACACACTCATCCTCCAACACCCTGTCCCAGTTGCCAGCTCCAAACTTATAGAAGTCTCAGCAAACAGGCATGAGGCAGAAACATGTTCCAAAGCTGTCTTGGCTCAGCAGGGTCCACCCATGCTAGCTAGGATGGGGAGAATTCCAAGGTAAACAGGCTGCGTTATCACTCCAGACTTTCTTGGCAGGAACAAACCGGTTTCCAGCCCCAAAACATATTTTGTGTGGATAATGGACAACTAGTTACAGAGTAAACACATGAGGAGTTCGCAGGTGTTATGTTCCTTTGTGTTCGCCAACCAGATGTTCTTGTGTGGGACTGGCGTTTTCCGCCCCCTGGGTGTCCCATGCTGAACTGAAAGTCATTCTTTCTTCCCCCTCTCAATGACATCAAGAAGAATTCTCACAGGATATTTCCCAAAATGAGCTGTAGATTTCACTTGCAAACAAGATTAAACTGTTTCTGTCAATTTCTTTCTTTCTTTTTTCTTTTTTCCTCAATCTGGATTATTCCAAGTAGCATTAGTCAAAATAAACATGTAAATCTTGACCTTTAGAAAAGTAACTACTATAGCAGAGTTATAAAAGTTACCTTAGGGAACTCAGGCTGTGAAATTGATGCCCGTGTCCTCGTGCTCTGGGTTGGCACTGGGTGCTGTGGACGCCACCTGTGCATTGCTACAAATCAAGGCCAAAGGTGGAACATGCCAGTGCTATTTCCACCGCTCCTGGTCAAGGCATCTGGCATGCTGGGGCCATTTGAAGAGGTTTGGACAGTATGTTCTCCTTATGGCCTACTGTGCTATGGATCCATGGGTCAGTTTGGAGAAAGCTGAGTGCTTCTAGAATATCTGACAGATCGAAGTGGGGCAGTGAGGTGAATGAACTTGGGTTTAGGAAATGAAACTTCATCAAACTGTGTCTGAAGTCAATCTCATGTGTCATTAGCCTTGAAAGGTTCTACCTGGTTCTCGTTGAACAAGTCTTGGCCTGGGCCCTGAACTTGCTTGGCTGTAGCAAGGGAAGATTACACAAAACCTCTTTTGCTGTCACGCCTTATCACTCCTCGAGCAGAAAGGAGTTCCTCGTTTTTCCATGCCACCTTTCCCAACACAGGAGTAGCGCCGGGCCAGGTCTCCTCAGTCGCTGAGTCTTGGTGTCATCCAGGCTTCCTATGACACGCTCAGTGCAAGGCAACTTGAGCTGCTCAGGCAGCCTGCTGTGTAGGATCCTCTGGTCTTTCCCCAGTGATGATAAAAAGAGGTAGCCCTAAAATGTGTGAGACATTAAAGGTTGATTGTAGAAGATACACGCAGCATGGTTGGCTGCATAAGAAATTCAATGACGGCTGGGTACCGTGGCTCATGTTTGTAATCCCAGCACTTTGGGAGGCTGAGGTGGGCATATTACGAGGTCAAGAGATCGAGACCATCCTGGCCAACATGGTGAAACCCTGTCTCTACTGAAAATCCAAAAATTAGCTGGGCGTGGTGGTGTGCACCTGTATTCCCAGCTACTCGGGAGGCTGAGGTGGGAGAATCGCTTGAACCAGAGCCTCCCAAGGTGCACCAGAGGTTGCAGTGAGCCAAGTTTGCACCACTGGACTCTAGCCTGGCGACAGAGTAAAACTCCGTCTCAAAAAAAAAAAAAAAAAAAGAAAAGAAAAAGAAATTCAATGACACATGTGCTATGTGCTTCTCAAAACACTACAGTTATAAGATCTTATTTGATCCTAATTAATAATACCTTATGCTACTGTAAGTGCTTGTGGTTTATAAAACACTCTGGCTTACTTTATTTAACTCTCAGCACAAATTTGTGAGGCAGGTGGAATTAGGCTCGCTTTACTGGTGAATTACCTTGGTCTCTGGGAGTTTATGTGATTTACCCAAAGTCATTTGCCAGTCAGTGGCAAAGTCCAACTCAAACTTCAGCCTCTTAACTCCAAATCCAGGGCTTTTCCCAGCAGGTTGGGAGTTCAGTGGAGTAGGTGCCACTGTTCACGTTTTGTAGATGAGAACGTTAAGCAGGGATTACATAACTTGCCAACAAAAAGTAATTTGTGATAGAATCTAAGAAATAATGCACATTTCCTGACTTCTAATCTGGTGCTCTTGCCGCCTCTCTGGGAAGCTTTTGGGGGGGATAAGTGAAGGTGGGAGAGATTTTGTGATCATTGGAAAAGAAATCTAATATAGAAATCCTATCCTAAAGGACATCACAAATTTGCAGAATGCATATCATCGTAATGTATAAAATATATTAGTGGTTAAAAAAAAACTCTGCTCATCCACTCCATTTATGGAATTTATTGCCTAACTGTCTTTTTATACCATGGCAGTGTTTGTGTGTGAAATGTGTCTAACTTGTGGAAGCTATAATTTTGTATTCAAGACATGATGGGTAATTATATATAGGAGTTGCACTTGAATTTCCCATCTACTGACAAAAATGATGGAATCAGCCACAGCATTGTGATTTCCTTTCAGTGAAATGCATTTGCTTTCCTTTTCAATTAGTTTTATGGACAAGATTCAAAGATTGCTCTAGACTGAGAGAAAGTGGTGACTGGAATTAGCTTTGTCACATGCGGAAGGACTGGCATTGCTTCCTATCAGTGCACATTCAGGCAGGAACACACATCTGGGGGAGAATGCAGACACTCCACATGGCAGTTCTGGTTGGCGGGATGTTGGCTGTTAGGTTCGTCTGGCCCACATCCAAGTGGGCTTACTGAGTGAGGCACAGAAGGCGACTCTCCAGGGCACTTTACTTCTAACGAGTGGACCTCTCCCCTAGGCCAGGTCAAGAGGCACTGCTGTGGGGATTCTCTGATGCCATGCACTTATTGTATTGCCTGGCCTCCTCTCAACTTTACCAGCAAGCTCTTATATGTCTATTTCCATGACAATTGTACTTCAAGGGCCTAACATGGTGGCTGACATCAAGCAGAGACTGATGTAAAGCTACTGAATAAATGCATGGAAGAATGACAGGCAAATCTTAGGATAGGGCATTATAGTGATGCCTTGTGTGTCCCCATAAGCTCAACATTTCAATCTACTCAAAATTCAGCCCAACTTGGAGGATGGCAGCTTTTCTTTCTGTAAGTAAAATCAGGTAGCCATTTGACTGTTGACAGACTTGTTCTTGGGCAAGTTACTTAAATTTCCTGGGCTTCACCAGATAGAATAGGGGTGAAGGTGTCTGATAGCAGCCCCGTCGTTGAAATGAATCAAGTCTAAGCACCTTGGGAGAGCTGCCAAGATCTTCCTGTTGGTGCCCACCTTTGTGGTAAGCTCTCAATGACACACAACTTACTCCTTGCTGCCTGCTGGACATGCCATGCCCTCTTTTCCATCTGCAGTGTATGTCTTGCTCTCCCTGGGGCATGCCCTTCCTCTGTTCTCTTTGCCTGGGAAACTTCTTCACATATTTGGTGACTCGGATCGAATGCTACTCTTTTTTTTTCTTCTCTCAAAAAATCCTTCCTCACTGCTGCTTGTACCTGCTTTAGCATTTTGTTTATGTAAACGTTATTATATTGATCACTGTATTAGTCCATTTTCATGCTGCTGATAAAGACATATCGGAGACTGGGAAGAAAAAGAAGTTTAATTGGACTTACAGGTCCACATGGTTGGGGAGGCCTCAGACTCATGGCAGGGGGTGAAAGGCACTTCTTACATGGCAGTGGCAAGAGAAAAATAAGGAAGAAGCAAAAGCGGAAACCCCTGATAAACCCATCAGATCTTGTGAGATTTACTCACTACCATGAGAATAGCATGGGAAAGACCGGCCCCCTTGATTCAGTTACCTCCCCTTAGGTCCCTCCCATAATATGTGGCAATTCTGGGAGATACAATTCAAGTTGTGATTTGGGTGGGGACACAGCCAAGCCATATCAATCACCTTTAACTGGCATTACTGGAAATTCTTGACTGGCTCTTTTAAAGGGTAGATGCTGTATTCTATTAATTTTGGTATCCTCTAAGCCTAGTAAAATGCCTGGTATAGATTAAATGCTTAAATCTTTGTAAGATAAGTAAATGACTGTCTGAATGAATGAGAGAGAAATAGAAGTAGGACGACTATCACATTTTTAATTTTTCAAAAAAGGTGAGATGATTTACCCACAATTTAAATCAATAGAGATTCCTAGTATGTCCTTACCAGGTGAGAAGCTTCTGGAATCCCAAACACCCAGCTCAGTTTTGTTGACTGGATGAAAGGATGTATAAGCAAATAGTGAAGATTCTTTTGCAAAAATGTAGTTTGACTTTTGTCTCCATTTATTTATTAATTTAGCTTACGTTTAGTGATCTTTGATTATATGCTTTCCCCTGTGCATTCCTTCTCCTCATCTCTGTCTAATCCCAAGCACTGGGGCTGCTAATATCCTTATAATATCATGAAAGTTGATACAGGGAAGTTTAAAAACTTTGTGAAATATGATACCAGGCAAAGGTTCACAGGTTCTTTTTAAGGCTGACTTCCCTTCCTTGGTTTCTAGCATCCGAGATCATTAAAAATAGATAGCATTGTAGACATTTTAAATACCTATCTTACTTTATTTCCACCATTAGTTTTGCTGTTTCTTCCTGTGGTCCTCTGAGGTTGAAGAGAGAAACCTCAAGGTCATTTTCAATATCAGGCAGTCTCACTGCTCAGGGCATGCTTTCCTATGTGTAGGTTTCTTTATTCTCCCATTCTGCTTCTTTTCACAAAAATGTGGTTTGCAAAAAATCCATATCGTTTACTCAAAACATAGGGTTCTAAAACTTGAGACACTGGGATCAATCTAACCATGCTATTTGGATTTAAAATGTGGGGAGGATATCCAGCTAGGTGAGCTATCTGATCATGAGTTCAAGATTGAAGGCTCTTTTTTTGATATTGGCATTTCAGCATCAAATGGGCAGCCTCTTCTCTGATCCTAATGTTCTCTCCTTTTAATAAGGCAGGTGGGACACGACTAAAAATTTCACTTATCCCAGCACCAATGCAGCCCCACCCACTTTGATTTGCTTTCCTGTAGCATTTATAGCCACATCTCTTTTTCAATCAAGTTTCTAAAGAAACTGGATTGCAAGTTTCTTTAAGTCATGGACTTCCCTTGCTCATCTTCTCTTTCCCACTCCAAAGTCTATGGCAATGTGTAACACAATAAATGCAGACTGTCTCAAAAGGATAACAGCTCCCTCAAAAGTGTCAAGATGAAGACATCAGAGCATGCTGACATTTTTATTCTTCTTAATTCTCGTGCACACCAATGGCTGGAGGCCTTCCATTGTCTCCTGGTCTGAGTGCTCTATGTATGCTTGTCAAAATAATGAAAATGTCTGGCTGTGTCATTGATCAAACCTCATGGAGTGAAGAAACAAGCCTCGGAAGGGTTGGCTCTGCTTTCAAAGGTACCGGACACCAGGCTGCTGGTGCAAAGTCCCTTGTGAAAGGCTGGCCCAAATGACAAGCTGTAAAGGTCCAGACTTTCAGTTATGCTCTGTAACAGTGTCTGAAATCAATATCCATAGCGCAGAAGGTGGTGGAGGATCAGAGGCTTGCAGTGCTGCCTCTGACATTTCAGGAGCATCTCAGTTGTCCCCCAGGGTGGTCTCGTCTCATTCCAGCCCAGAATGGTGCTGGGCGGGGGGAGCCCGAGCTCTTCTCTTTAGAAATCTTGGAGCAGTTTTTGATCTGTGCAAATCATCGGGAGGAAAAGAGACCCGGAAC
Source organism: Homo sapiens (assembly GCF_000001405.40). Classification (NCBI taxonomy): domain Eukaryota; kingdom Metazoa; phylum Chordata; class Mammalia; order Primates; family Hominidae; genus Homo; species Homo sapiens. The sequence continues at coordinate 93,491,652 of NC_000015.10, forward strand.
CCTTGGCTTGTGTTTTGTTCTAGCAGAGCCAGTTTTAAGTGAATTGATTTGTAGGGCTGCTGCCACAAAAAGAGTGATTCCTTTTGCTGCTGGGTGAGAGAAACAGTAAAATGAGGCTGTTCTTGATGGATCCCTAGGGCCAACCCATGCGAGAGGTGGATGGCCAGCCTTGCCAGTGGGCAAGAATACCAGTAAGCTCCTGGAGTACATTTCTTGTGCAAAATATCCAGTGCAGTGTCTGGCAGAGCACTGATGCTCCTGAGGATTAGGGCCCTTGTCTAATGCGGTGACATCTAAGTCTTCTATTGACATTAATATTATGTGTCCCTATTTTATGCAAGATGTGTATAGGCCCGTGGTATACTTGTGAAATATGGAGCTATTTTTGGCAATTTTCAAAGGGCCAGGGAGCATCCAGTTTCTCTTGTGGGGTGTCCCCTTATCTCCCTGATCTCTCTCTTTCAGCAACTTCCAGCACCCCCTACTTGTTTATCTGTTGTGCCCTGAGACTTACCTCCCTCCTGAAATATGGTAACATTGCATTCTAGTTGGTCTTTCTGTCCCTATTCTTCTGTCTCTAATTGAGTACCCTGCCTTCATTGTGTTCATTCTAACTCAGATAGGTTCATTCTTTTTTTTTTTTTTTTTTGTTGAGACAGTTTCGCTCTTGTTGCCCAAGCTGGAGTGCAATGGCGCGATCTCAGCTCACCGCAACCTCCGCCTCCCGGGTTCAAGCGATTCTCCTGCCTCAGCCTCCCGAGTAGCTGGGATTACAGGCATGTACCACCACTCCTGGCTAATTTTGTATTTTTAGTAGAGATGGGGTTTCTCCATGTTGGTCAGGCTGGTCGCGAACTCCTGACCTCAGGCGGCCCGCCCACCTCAGCCTCCCAAAGTGCTGGGATTACAGGCGCGAACCACCGCGCCTGGCCCAGATAGGTTCATTCTTATTCCTGGCATGGAGCTCCTCTGATACCTCTCATTATTATTGTTGGGGTATTTCCCAAAATGTTTGAATTGGTTCACTGCATCCTTGCCTCAGCCCATGTGCCAAGTCCCGCGTCTGGACTCTCCTTTCCATATATTTCTTTTCAAGGAAGGTAGAACTGTTTACCCCAACTCCGACATCACTGTACTATTACTCATTTGTATGGCAAGCTCCTTCCCATCTGTCAAGAGTCTGCTCAAATGCCATTTCATTTCTGTAATTCTTCATGCTTCCTCGACATGAATAATTAATCAATCTACCCCTCTCTGATCCCTTATAATGTTGCACATATTTTACAATAACGTTTATCATTCTGGGTTATTTTACTATTGATACTCATTTGCATATCATTCCTTAATAAGCGGTGAAGACAGGAACTTTACCTTGATTTATGTTTGAATTTCTGGTGCCTATCAATGGTGCCTGCTGTTTGTCTAATGGGTGCTTTGACAAAAGTCTGGGTTGAAACTTAAAATTTGAGACACATTTGTCTTTTGGATTTGAGCATCCGTGCATGTGACATGTTGATAAGTTAATATTTTATTGGTTATTGATACTATTTTAGGGTTGACCATGGAAATTGTTATCTTAAAATTAGATTCCATTGGATCTTGGCATTAAAACGTTCTTAAGAGGCTCGTGACCCACGTACTCTTTTGGTTTAGAACAAATTTTTCATTGCCAAAAAGTTCTGAGCCCTGATGCATGCAACATCCTGCATAGAATAATAAAGGGTCTGTACACTTTGTGGAGTCAATCCAAGAGAATGACCTACTTAGAAATCTCCAACTGAGAAGAATCTTTTAGAAAGAGGAGTCCATTTGATTTTCCTGTTTGGTGACTTATCTATGGGGAAGATAGGCTTGTCTATGAGAAACTCAGGTTGCATGATTTGTGTTTTCATTACCTGGGGCCGGATTTGTTACTGATACTCCAGAGGTTCTGCCTAGGCCCTGCTGTTTGCCGCACAGAATGCCAATCACTGAGACAAATGAGTATTGCCAGGGAAGAAGGCTTTAGTCACCTGTAATCAGGTGCTATAGTTAAGGAGAAGGGGAGATAAATTCTCAAATCTGTCTCCCCAGCTTATGAAAATTGGGGGATTTATATAGCAGGGAAGGCAGGAAAATAGGAATTAGGGACTGGTAAGAAAGCAATCATGATAGATGAGGAAACTGGCATCTCATTGTCTGGATGTGATGATCTGATGAGTTTCATTCCCTTGCCTGAGGGTCAGTTTCTTGAGGAAGGAACTCAGGTGAGACAAATGTAAGTTTCAAGTTTTAAGACAAGGGAGGGTGAATTTCTATGTTTATTCAAAAATCATAAATATTAGTTCTATGGGAAAATTGGATGGTTTCAGCTTGAGACTAACTTGGTGGGCACTGAAATCAGCATGATCCTTAGGTGGTCGTATGTTTTCATAGGCCTGGTCTCAGTCACTGCCTCAGCGCTAACTTAGTGGCAGAGAAACTCGCAGGTCTCTTTGTACTCACTGTCGACGTCTACTGAGGCATCACTCCTCATGGGCTCTGGAGTCCGAGTGCCTAGGCTCCAGTCCCAGCTCCACTAAGGGGTGTAAGCTTGTGCGAGTTACTTACTATCTTTCAACTTCAGTTTCTTCATCTGGAAGATGGAATAATAAAAATAGCCATGAGGGGTAAGATCACAATATAACACACTATAAAACACCAAAAGGTCTACGTCTAAGACTTGGCTTGGTGCGTGTTTCAGCCTCAACCCTGCTCCCACCTCCCCCATCTAGCTATTTAGCATGATTATTTTTATTTGATGCCTGTGCATTAAAAATCGGCTCTTCTAGACCTAGTTTTGATTTATTTCCATACATTTGATGAGGGTCAATATTTGTTGAAAGGAAATGTGATTTTGAATGTTTAAAACTGCCATTTTTTGAGGCCGTGCATGGTGGCTCATGCCTCTAATACCAGCATTTTGGGAGGCCAAGATGGGCAGATGACTTGAGGTCAGGAGTTCGAGACCAGCGTGGCCAACATGATGAAACCCCGTCTCTACTAAAAATACAAAAATTAGCTGGACATGGTGGCAGGTGCCTGTAATCCCAGCTATTCGGGAGGCTGAGGCAGGAGAATCGCTTGAACCTGGGAGGCAGAGATTACAGTGAGCCCAGATTGCACCACTGCACTCCAGCCTGGGTGACAGAGTGAGACTCCGTCTCAAAATAAGTAAATAAATAAATAAATAAATACATAGTTTAAAACTCCATCTCAAAATAAATAAATAAATAGTTTTAAAAAGTGCCATTCTTTGAATTAGGTACTCTAAAATAATATCATATACCATATAATCTAGGCCTGAAGATTGTTTCAATTTTTTAATTGATGCTGCCTATGTTTTACAAATATGCTAATAAGCATACAAATCTTTTGTAATAGAAAATTAGGTATTTTATTATTGTTCTAAAATGAGAAAAAAAAAAAAGATCCCATTGATTCCCATATCAAATTGTCTTGGTTCTTATTTTCTATTCCACAAACCTTGTAACAAACAGACCCTTTGCTATAGGTTTGAGAACAGTATATTAATAAACAAATACAATATAAAATTGCCATTCTTTAAAGTAACACATCTTATAAGCTAAATGATTTTAGGAGATGAAATGTCAGGCCAGTCACCAGCTTAGAGACCAATGCTTGTTAAATTTTAAGAAGTTAGGGTTAGAAGATTATTTTACACAAAACATTTGTTCAATACCTTTTGTATTTTCTTGAGGCACAAAAGCACATACATTAGTAAGTGATTCGTGTCCAACTTTTATTTTCTCTATGCTTTGGATTGTTCAGGTAGGCAAGAGGAGGTTGAAAACCAATTCTAAGGCACAGTGTTGTGGCTCATACCTGTAATCCCAGCACTTTTGGAGGCCAAGGCAGAAGGATTGCTTGAGCCTAGGAGTTCAAGGCTAGCCTGGTCAACATAGTGAGACTCCATCCCTACAAAAAGAAGAAAACAGATTCTAATTTTAGCTGTTACCTGATACCAGAAAAACTGATTTAAAAAAATTAAAATTGCTTATTTGAGGGTTTTTTTTTTTTTTTTTAATCGAGACGGAGTCTCGCTCTGTTGCCCAGGCTGGAGTGCAGTGGTGCAATCTCTGCTCACTGCAACCTCCGCCTCCCAGGTTCAAGTGATTCTGGTGCCCCAGCCTCCCAAGTAGCTGGGACTACAGGCACGTGCCACCACACTTGGCTAATGTTTTTGGTATTTTTAGTAGAGACGGGGTTTTGCCATGTTGGCCAGGCTGTTCTCAAACTCCTGACCTCAGGTGATCCGCCTGCCTCAGCCTCTCAAAGTGCTGGGATGACAGGTGTGAGCCACCGTGTCCAGCCTTAAGCAGTTATTGAAATGCATATCAAGTGCCAACCGATGCCTTGTCTTGTGCAATGTCTCATTTAGTCTCTATATAAATCTATGAAACAGGTCTTATGACCTGATTTTAGAGGTGAGGAAATTAAGGCCTGGAGAATTTATAAAAAGATTATGTTTTTAAAAGATAATTTTTTTTTTCTGTTGAATTAATGTTCATTGGGCCTTTTGTCTGATTTTCACTGATTTCAGGCACAGTGGATTGAAGAGGGGGGCAGTGCTGAGTCATTCACGTGGTGTGTGAGGGCTCCTGTTTGTAAATCAGGGATTCTTGCAGCCTGCTTTTTCAGGTAAACAACATTCCTTTGAATTTTGCTTCATGTTTAAAACAGAAATCATGTTATTTGCTTCTGATTTGGCTGCAGAGCAGGCAGCAGCATGCCCTCCAGAAATATCAAAGAAGGAAAAGCCTCCTGGCATGGCAAACTGCCTCAGCTGCTCTCTGAAAATAGACCTCAGTTGACTGAGGTTATGTCAGGTTCTGCTCCATGTTCTTTTGGAGGAGTTTAGGGGTTATCTCTAGGGTAATATGTACAACATCTTTTATCCAAATATAAATGCGACACGATTCTACATTTTATTATTAAAGCGTTTGAAAAGGCGGCTTTCTTTATGGAGTTGGAGGCATTTTTCTTTGTTCGTGGTGGGTTAGATCAGGGGTTCTCAACTAGGGGTCAGTTTTGTGCCCCCGCCCGGGGTCATTTGAAAATGCCTGGAGAAATTTTTAGTTGTCACAACTGGGGTTGCAACTGGCATCTAGTAGGTTAGGTCACAGATGCTGCTAAGCGTCCCACGATGCACAGGACAGAGAATTATCCAGTCCAAAATGTCACGTATGCTAAGGTTAAGAAATCCTGGGTTAGGTTAAATTGCCTTAAAACGTAGCCCACGTTTGCAACCTGAATCTATTTGAAAATGTTCCTCCCTTCCAGTGCAAGCAGAGTTAATGTGATGTTGAATTCTGTGGCTTTGTCTCAACTCCTAAGTCTGATGAGATGATCGATGCCTCGGCTTCTTTCCTTGCTGTCTGTTATTGACTTTTCTCTCCGCCTCTGGTGTCCAAGCTCTTGCTGCTGGGGGATGCTCACAGGATGGTGCAGGAGATGAGGGAGAGCTGGACCCACTTCCCACCTCCTGAAATATGGCTTTAATTAGATAAGGGAAAATGATCTAATAAAAATCAATTCAACACCAGGTCAATGAAGAGATTAAGGAGGCAGGAATAGATAGATGACCTTGCTGATAAGAATTAGAAATATGATTTGAATATTTTTGGAGAAAATAATTTATGTAAAAATTCCTCTCAAGTCATTTAGAAATATGGTTGCTGCATTCCTAAGACTCCCCACCCACCTCTTCCCCCACAAACATTGTGGGTGTTTTCCCTTGCATTCCATCTGTAATATTCAGTACACTAAGTGAAATACGGATGTGGGTGTGGTTATTTTGTGTCAATTTCAGTCTGATTTCCCCAACCTTGTCTGCATTCTTGCATTAATTAGCAAACTAATTTTCAAAGCCATGTTTTATATGCCTGATGCATTTTAGCACTCTGCTTGTTTTTTGGCAATGCGAATGTGGGCAGAATATGATTCTTGCACTTGAGAAACTGATGCAGTCTGGTAGTAGAGAACAATTTTTAAGGAAATATTCATAATTAATGGGGTTTCCAATTAATGCTCTATAGAGAGAAGGGGTCTGGAAATATGCATGGAGCAAATTCTGTTTAGGGAACTGAGAAAAATTTTATGCACAAGGTAATTAGGGAGTTAGGTATTGAAGGATGAGTAAGAGTTTGACAAGCAGAGGAATAATAGAGAGGCCAGCAGGTATTAAAGAGCATGGATGAACATGCTGTGGTAGGATTATCATGTGAACAGGGTTGAATGGGAGGAGATGAATCTGGATTTCATCCTTCAAAACATGGTGAGCTCTCTGAGGGAAGAAGTATCCTCTGTCCCTGTGGCAGTGCCAGGCACACAGCATCCATCCGTATCAGCACCAGAATGAACCTCAACAGCAAAGGGCTGTAGAGCGTATGTTCTGAGTCTCTAAGCAAAGAAATAATATGATTAAAGGTGGGGATCCCAGGGGAGTGTAAATGAGAACAGCAGTAGGAAGTCTGCTCATAAGGGCAGGATGTGACAAGGACCATGGCAGAAAGAAAGAAGGAGAGAGAAGGGGTTCTGGAGACACTTGGCAGGTAAATGTAATAGAATGTGATAAATAGAATAAATGGAAAAGTGATGTAAAGGGTAGACGGGATTGCCATTGTCTTGGGCAGTGCGGACCAGAGGATGATACTGAAGTCATTGTATTCACAGTGTGTGCCCAGTATGCCTAGAACAATGTAACTTTCAGAATGTCATGTTTGGGGTAGTACCTTCGTATGCTGGGGTAAGCACTGCTGTGGTTGAGAGTGGTCTACCTGAAGATTTGCTGGTACACATAGTGATTTTCTCCTGTGCTTTGTCTCCAGGGACATTGGCTGCTGTCTTCTGACCCACCCTGTGTGGCTTTGGCGTCTCCTGTGACCTCCCAGTATGGGTCTTGGCCTCATCCTGCCTCTTTGTCTTTCTGGCCCACCACCCACAGCTTGAATCTCAGGCTCCAACAGTTGCCTGACCCCCAGATTCTGATGACAGCCTACCTACTTGTTCTTCAGGCCCTCACCAGACTCACTGCCCAGACACACCACACAGGAGAACATGAAAGGGTGAATGAATCTTTCATCATTTGATGACCAAGTTGGCATTCTTTTACATTCCAGCCACCAGAGGAAGGTGTATTTTAACACAATTGCCCTCACATCCTCCTTAACAGGATTTACATAAGTTTATTAACACATATGTTTCTACAAAATCAAGTTTTGAGAACCATTTTTATACACTGATCTGGGACATTTTGGGGATATGAAATTAACTTTAGCACACACAGCAAGAAGAAAACCGAACAACAAATTCTACAAACACCAAATTTGCTGTGAAATTTACATTTCAGAATCTCTCAAGAAATAGTGCCCAGCAGCAATTCTTACTGTTTTCACTTTTTCCCCCGTCTTCACATTTTTATGTTTGACAGTGCCAACATATTTTCTCAACATTTATTCTGAAAGGAATGTACTTTGTGAATTCCTTAAATGCAGGATGATTCTGATTTTATTGGCCTAATAGCTCCTCCTTATGCGTGGGTTAGTATAACAGAATGCATTTGAGACCTGCTATACTATTTTAAATTAAGACATTTCATGTAGCACATAGTATTTTAAAATGAAGAACATTGTCTTGGAAAGCACACAGGCTAACTGCTATTTTCTTGATGCAAGAAATATTTAAATTCTCTGTGCTTCAGTCTATACAATCAGTTTTCCAGGGATGCTGTGTATATAAAACGAGGGAGTGTATTAAGAGTATCAGCATGTAGTAGGTCCTTCAACAGAAGCTGGAGGTTCTGGCTCAAGGTCTGGCTTGTGTTCAATGAACACCAAACCACATAATTGCCCTTGCCCTCATCCTCTCTTAATGCATAAAGAATTTAACCTAGTCAGTCAACTGGCACAATGTAGTAAAAAAGACACACACACACACACACACACACACACACACACACACACATTTGTTCTAATGTTAGTCTTTTTATAAATGACAATTGAGTAGACATGCAACCTAGGCAGTGTGAAGGACCGGAATTAGTAATAAGTATTTCAGTACACAGCCTACAAGGCAGAGTTGGGGCCAGGTTGCAAGGAAAGGGCAGCGACAGGGTGATGGACACGCTCTATCTACTATCAACCAATCTCTACACAGAACCAGGTTCATTTACATTTGCTCTTTGTGACATCCTGCAAGAAGGTAGTACTAACTCAATTTATAGATGGGGTAACACAAGGTCTGAGACTTTAAGTAACTTTCCAAGATCACATGACCAGTAAGACTTGATACTGTGATTTAGTTTGAAATCTTTTATCTTTCCAATGTTCCATGCTGCTTCCTAGGGACTAGAAATGAGCCCATTTGCAGACACTGAGAAACATGTAAGAGTCTTGATAGCCCTTGCCCCTGAAGGAAGCTGTCTGCATTAATATGTCAATAGGCAGGAGGACAGATTCAGCCATGGGGTGGTCAGTGTAAGTCTCCTGGAAGTTTCTTCCCACCATCTCTAAGAATCTTCTGCAGCCTCTGACATTGTCCCCACGAGCTCTGCCCTGCATCCAGCTCAGGAAGGGTCTGGGCTTTATCAGGTGGGTCAATGGCACTCAACTACCAGGAAGGAATATTACACAATGGGGTTGCTGGTTCCTAACTCTAACACTACGTTTGCACTTACTAGAGTTTTTTATGAGCACTCTAGGCTGATCTGGTTAATGTTTATCTACCCCCTCATTCTAAGAAAGGATTTAGACAATTTTTGGAGTATAATAATAGAAATAACAGCAGGTTAAGTGTAGACAATGGGAAAATAAAATGAGTCAACACATCAAATGCATAACTCAAAGACTCACCATTGAACACAATGAATTTGGCAGAGATGGGTTCCGGGGTCGTGCTGCTGAGAGTTTTGGGCTAAAGGTGATGCCAGATGAGGCTCTGTTCTGAAGACTCTTTTTTTATTTTTTATTTTTTTTTCTGAGACAGAGTCTCACTCTGTCGCCCAGGCTGGAGTGCAGTGGCGTGATCTTGGCTCACTGCAACCTCTGCCTCCCGGGTTTAAGTGATTCTTCTGCCTCAGCCTTCTGAGTAGCTGAGACTACAGGCATGCACCACCACGCCCAACTAATTTTTGTATTTTTAGTAGAGACAGGGTTTCATCATATCGGCCAGGCTGATCTCGAACTCCTGATCTTGTGATCCACCCGCCCCGGCCTCCCAAAGTGCTGGGATTACAGGTGTGAGCCACCGTGCCCGGCCCTCTCGAGACTCTTTACTTGCTTAGGACATCCTTGCAACAGGTCACTTTTTGTTTGCTGATACATGGTCTAGAGATTGGGATTTGCAGAATTCTGCCAGATTGTTATTTCTAATTGGCTTTATGGTGGAGGGTGTGTTGAGAGACTAACGACTAAGAAAGGCACAGGACATTCTGCAGGTAGTCATAGGTTGTATTGTTGTATCAGTACTCTGGGGGTGAAGCAAACTGCCCTGCTGTCCCAAAGAATAGCACTGTAGGCATAAACCAGGGTCCTATTTATAGGGAGGCAGTCTATGTTAGCACTTAGGGACACAGATTATAGGTAGAGTAAGACAGATTAAATCATGGCTGTGCCGCTTACTAGCTGAGTCACCTTGGGCAAGAGGTTTAATGTCACCATCTGGAAAACAGAGAGGTTCCTCACGTTATACCTTAATGTAACATTCTATAAAGGATACTTTAGTGTGAAAACACTGAAAATGCCTATTTTAAACACAGTGAATACTAGAAAGTATAGATACATTTCCAGATACCCATTATTCAAAAATTTGATTCATCCACACTGCCCAGAAATGGTTAAATATCAATTAACAAGTATGTCATTAGTAATAAAGAAACAACCACAGGCTTTGTCAATCATTCTTAACTTAAAAATACGGACTCTTGGCCTGATGTAAGAATAATGATGTTGAGGCAAAAAGATAAAGGCGTCACCTGGAGAAAGGAGTGAATTAGACGATTTTTGGAGTATAATAATAGAAATAACAGCAGGTTAAATGGAGATAATGGGAAAATGAAGTGAGTTGGGGTGGGAGTAGAAGGGAAGGCAGAGTGGTAGTGGATGCATATCTACCTCCTCCGTCTTCCCCTTGGCATCCAGGAAGGTGCCGATAGATGGTGATGAATTGCATTTTATTCTTTCTGAAGACTGCTTACTTTTGATATTTTTTTGAGGCAGAAAGGAATGAATGTAGCTTTAACCTCTTTGTACTATGAGTGTTCGTGACCCTGGGATAATATTTTAAAAGTGTATTATACTAATGTATTTTTGTTCTCCATAAATTACGTTGTCTAAAGGGCAACTCATTTACCCAAGACATTAATTTCATCAGAGATGCTTAGATCAGGAAGATCAGCACTCACTTTTGGGTTTCCAGTAGATTTTGTTGAGTCTACATTGGAAGCTAGGGTGTGTTGAAAGAGAAAATGTTTATCTTAATTCCACTCATACTTCTTAGCATACCAAGAGCCAAGACACAGTATTGAGAGGAGAAAATATAAGTTTAAAGGGACTGTCCTATTATATAGGAAATGGTAGGAGCCCTTCCACCATGGGAAGGAGGAGGCCAGCCAGTGGAGGCAAGAATCAGAGAGAACAACTTGGGTGAAAATGCTTATGAGGTCACTCAGAGGGACCCAGGGACTCTTACCTGGAGGAAGGTGGGGCAGATAGATTGAGGAAAGAAGTAAAAGGTAAAGGATTGAAGGAAAAGAGGGCACTGATGCCCTACCACCTGTGCCCTTCCTCCTATTTGAATTCTGGGGGGACCACCTAGTGAGAGGCCTGCCGGCCAACATGCAGCTGTGGCTACCGTTGAATATAGTATGTTTGCGAAGGTTAGGCAGGGAGACCCAGAGCTAGTCCTCCTAGTTCCCATGACTTGTGTGTGACATGTAAGAGGCCCATATCTCAAGGTCAGGGGGCCTGCAATATAGGTGAGAATTAAAAGTTTGTGTCCTCTATAAACAGTGTGCAATACAAACATATTTATGTCGTAACCCAGATTCCTTGAAAGGATGTCTTTCCAGGTTATCGTAAGGATTACTTTAGACACTGGATGTGTATGTGTAAGGACTACTTTGGATGCCATATGCCATGAGTTTAATACAGGGTGTTGAAGACAACAAATAGTCAATAGATGGCATCTAATGTTACTGTTACTAATACAGAGTGGTCGTTAATTTGGAAGTAGCAGTTGATTTGAAAAGTACCAGTGTGGGCCGGGCGCAGTGGCTCATACCTGTAGTCCCAGCACTTTGAGAGGCTGAGCTGGATGGATCACTTGATCCGAGGAGTTCACGACCAGCCTAGGCAAGATGACAAAACCTTGTCTCTTCAAAAGATATAAAAATTAGCCAGGCATGGTGGTGCACACCTGTAGTCCCAGCTGCTTAGGAAGCTGAGTTGGGAGGATGGCTTGAGCCTGGAGGTTGAGGTTGTAGTGATCCATGATTGTGCCCTTGAACTCCAGCCTGGGATGACAGAGTGAGACCCTGCCTCAAAAAAAGAAACAAGAAAAGTATGAGTGTGATTACTCTGGGAACATCATCTAGAAAAGTCTGAAAAATCTTGTGTTAAGAGCAATTCTGGTGTGGGTGTGGTTGCTTATAGGTGCAATAAAGGATGAGGGTGTGAGGCAGGCATTGTCTGGAATAAAAGTAGTGAAGTCTTCATCGGCACACCCATGAGGGTAAATGTGGCACCATATTCTAAGGCAGAACAGGTCAGTGCAAACTCATGGGCACAGGCCACCCTGAGTTGGCCCAAACTTGCCACATTATGGCAAGCTGGGAGTCAGTGGGACCACATCTTGGAAAAAGGACTGAGGTGGATGAAGAGATAGAACTGATCCTCTTGCAAAATGGGTTTGTGGACCAAAAAAGCAAGTCTGTTGGTATAAAGGTAAAATAATCTTCTCTAGATCTGAGAGTAACTTGAGGGGAGAGACCTGTTTATCCAGACTTGTAGCCCCCAAAAGCTCCCATAATGACTGATACATATTAGGCCTTCAATTAATGTTTGAAGAAAAGCTTATAGACAAGGATTTGTGCCCAATTTGATGGAGCAGGGCAGAAGATGCTTTGACAATCTCAGATGTGCTGGGGGTTAACATCATGCCAAATGGGGCCTATCCAGAAGATTTTGACTTTAAAACAAGGGCCAGGAGACCAAATACGGACTCCAGTGCTGTGTTACCGTGTCATCTGTATACCAGGGATGTATTACGTGAATAAGAAACTCAAAGAATCCTGGGATATTCCCATCAAAATTCAAGGGTGACTTTTTTTTTTTTTTTTTTTGAGACGGTGTTTTTGCTCTTCTTGCCCAGGCTGGAGTGCAGTGGCATGATCTCAGCTTACTGCAACCTCTGTCTCCTGGGTTCAAGCGATTCTTCTGCCTCATCCTCCCAAGTAGCTGGGATTACAGGTGCCCGCCATCACGCCTGGCTAATTTTTTTGTAGTTTTAGTAGAGACGGGGTTTCACCATGTTGGCCAGGCTGGTCTTGAACTCCTGATCTCAGGTGATCTGCCCACCTCAGCCTCCCAAAGTGCTGGGATTACAGGCATGAGCCACTGTCAAGAGTGATTTTTTTTTTTTTTTTTTTTTTTGAGACGGAGTTTCGCTCTTGTTGTCCAGGTTGCAGTGCAATGGTGCCATCTTGGCTCACTGCAACCTCCACCTCCTGGGTTCAAGCGATTCTCTTGCCTCAGCCTCCCGGGTAGCTGAGATTACAGGCATGCACCACTAGGCCCAGCTAATTTTTTGTATTTTTAGTAGAGATGGGGTTTCTCCATGGTGGTCAGGCTGGTCTCGAACTCCCGACCTCAGGTGATCCACCCGCCTCAGCCTCCCAAAGTGCTGGGATTACAGGCGTGAGCCACTGTCAAGGGTGATTTTTTTGTTTTTTTTTTTTTTTTGGGACGGAGTTTCACTCTCGTTGTCCAGGTTGGAGTGCAATGGTGCCATCTTGGCTCACTGCAACCTCCACCTCCCGGGTTCAAGCGATTCTCTTGCCTCAGCCTCCCGGGTAGCTGAGATTACAGGCATGCACCACTAGGCCCGGCTAATTTTTTGTATTTTTAGTAGAGATGGGGTTTCTCCATGGTGGTCAGGCTGGTCTCGAACTCCCGACCTCAGGTGATCCACCCACCTCAGCCTCCCAAAGTGCTGAGATTACAGGCGTGAGCCACCGCGCCCGGCCAAGGGTGATTTTTAATGTATTTCTTGGTAGATGGCCCAGTTCTGTGGAACAGAAATTCCAGCATCTGATCCTCTACTGCTGATAGATGTGGCCTTGAAAAGAACTTAGAGATTTTAAAGTCTCACTGAGGGTATAAAAAAGTCTTTAAGATGAAAGATTAATTCATAGACTATGAGTTCCATTGTTTGTTTGGTTCACCTCGGTGCCTGGGAAATAGTAAGTTCTCAGTAAGTATTAACTGAATTTAAATCATTTTGTGGAGAATTCTGTTGCATCTGGTACGTGCCGGCCATTGTGTCAGCTGCAGATGTATCCCTTTCAATAGGGGGCTGAGAGTCTAGTAGAGAAGACAGGAAAAAAGACAGTGACCGTGTGGCATGGTACATGTCATGACTGAGTAATAAACAGGAGATTTTTATGAGAGCAACAGTCTTTCTCCATATCAGAGACCATCAAATGGTGGTCTACAGCTGGAGGCTACCTGCACATGTGTTTTATTTGCTATTCCCAGGGTAGGCCAACCTGGAATTTAAGCATTTTTAAAAGTCTGTCATTAGCATTTACAAATAAGTATTGTTTTGTCACAAGATCTTTGGGGTGTTGCTTCACCAGCTGGAAGCCTCTGTGGCCAGCAGCGCCTCCGCCTGGGTTTTACTTGCGTCCACTGGGCTTGTTCTGCCCACTTGGCCCGGCAGGCTGAGCTGGGCTCATGCTACTGCCCAGATCCCACGCCTGCCAAGGGCGAGCCAGGTGCGGAGCAGCAAGGGGTGTGTGAGTGAGCGAGCATGGAGTCTGGCCACTGTGTGTAGCCATGCGTGCTGGCTGCAGCAGGGTGGGCCACTCCAGGCGCCGGCACAAGCGCCGGCTCCAGCCCTGTGTGAACCTGCAGCTGGAGCATGTGTACCACAAGCGGCTTCTGCTGTGGGCCCCAGCGTCTGGTCAAGGGGAATGCAATTGCGCCCAAAAGCTTGGAGATGCCAGGAACCGCAACACCCCAAAGAGGGTGTTAGAGCATGTCACAGCCCTGGCTTGAGGAGCCCCAGGTCAGGGCTCCCAGAAGGGCCTCAGCTCTTCTCTCCTTCTCATCACCTGCAGTGTGGTGAGTCGGGGGTGTGTTTCATCCCTGTTTGTGTTATAGCCCTTTCAGTCCTGCCATTTGGCAGGTCCTGAGTTCTTTTCCTACATCCAGGAAGAATGAGGTGCGTGGACAACTGGAGGGTGAGCAAGGTGGAGAGGAGCTTCACTGAGCCACAGAACAGCTCTCAGAAGACTCGCAGTGGGCAGCTCCTTTCCGTAGGCAGGTCGTCCAGCGAGTATGTGAGTCTGACTGAGTCTGGGGGTTTTTACGTTCTCAGAATGGAGGAAATGCTGACTGGTTTATGGTTGGTCTGGAAAAAAGCATCATCCGATTAGTCAAACCGTCATCAATGAAGTACTCACTCTGGGCTTCAGACTTTGCCTGGAACTGGCAGCCTGGTACCCAGGCTTCAGGCTGTCCCTGCCTTGAAGGTGGGGCTTCACTGGGGACCTGCCACTTCCTGCCTGGGATGATGCTTCCTGCTGCCATCAACATGATGTCCACAGTGCCCAGGCTGTTTGCCCTGAAGGGTGCCTGCAGGCTAATGTCGAGCCACCCTCAGCCCCCTGGTCTCCCTCTGGTGCTGATTGGCACCCAAAGTCCAGAGGGGACTGAGGCAGCAGGGGGCTGGTGTGTCAGCACCACCCACAGAGTGCACGTGCCCAGCTGGGTTGGGACATTGCCTGGGCTCAGCCACAACTTTGCTCCGCACTGCAGCACTGGAGTGGGCACCAGGAGCGGGAGAGGCCAGGCAGCAGGAGCAGGCACTTTCAAACCTGTTGGCGGGTGAGGAAGGGGCTTCCTGGGCTCCAAGAGCTCAGGGATACCCTAGTCCGGAGCTGTGGCTGGGTGGCTGCAGCGGCGCCTGGAAGCCTGGGGCTCCTGTCCCACTGGCTCGCGGGAAAGGGTAGGGGGTGGGCTCCTGCCTGTTCTTGGCCCCTGCTGACTCCACAGAGTGCACAGCCCTGGCAGCACCTCCCCCGCTGTAGCTGGCATCTTCACAGCAGCCGCTCCAGATGGGCCACTGCTGCCATCAGTTTTCCTGTGGAAATCTTTTAAGTTTAATCAATGGTTTATGTTATCAGTAAGGCTTCTGGTCAACAATTGGCTATTAGTACTTAAGTTTTGGGGGAGTCAAAAGTTATATTCAGATTTTTGGCTGCATGAGCTGTTGGCATTCCTAACCCCTGTGCTGTTCAAGGTTCAACTGTACTGGATTTTCTTGAAAATTCAGAAGTGCTGGAAACCCTGGGCCCGGATTTCTATGTGACAGCAATTTTGGGGCTGAGTGGCTTCATTTAGATGGGGCATGTGCTCCCCATATTCTGCTCTCCCCTTAACACTGAGGTTGATGATAGTGACCTCAACATCAATGAGGTAGTGCTGTTTCCATGTCATAGAATTAAGAGGAGGTTGAAGTATTTCCCATTCTCACTTCAAGCAAAACTGGAACAATGGAAGATACACTTAGGGCACCATATTTCAAGCAAGAAAGGAAGAGGGCAAATTTCCTTGTACATATAAAACATACTCCTAGGTGTTTAATGTACAAACCAATTGTGTCTGTGCAAAGTGACATAATTTAAAACATCCTTCAGAAATAAACACATCAAGAACCATGGGCTACTCAAGTGAAAATAAAATTACTAAAATTTCAACAGGGTTTACATTTGAATGAAAATAAATTACAATGCTGTTAAATTCAGTAAGTGACAAAAATTGGGTATTGCAGCTTTTAGGAGATAGTAAGTGCATAAAAAGGGATTTTCTAGGTGCAGCAGAAAGTATGTATCATGAATAGTCATAGAAACACATCCTCTCAGTGTGTGAAATGCTTGAGAACCACTGCACTCCAGCCTGGGCTACAGAGTGAAACTCTGTCTCCAAAAAGAAAAAAATGGTTTAAGAGACAGGACAGTCTATGAGTAAAAAATGCAAGAGGTCTTGAACTGTAACATGCAGGTTTGTTACTTAGGTATACACGTGCCATGGTGGTTTGCTGCACCCATCAACCAGTCATCTACATTAGGTATTTCTCCTAATACTATCCCTCCCCTAGCCCCCCACCCCATGACAGGCCTTGGTGTGTGATGTTCCCCTCCCTGTGTCCATGTATTCTCATTGTTCAACTCCCACTTATGAGTGAGAATATGTGGTGTTTGGTTTTCTGTTCTCATGTTAGTTTGCTGAGAGTGATGGTTTCCAGCTTCATCCATGTCCCTGCAAAGGACATGAACTCATCCTTTTTATGGCTGCATAGTGTTCCGTGGTGTACATGTGCCACATTTTCTTTATCTGTTCTATCATTGATGGGCATTTGCGTTGGTTCCAAGTCTTTGCTATTGTGAACAGTGCTGCAGTAAACATACATGTGCTTGTGTCTTTATATAGAATGATTTATAATCCTTTGGGTATATACTCAGTAATGACATTGCTGGGTCATATGGTATTTCTGGTTCTAGATCCTTGAGGAATCACCACACTGTCTTACACAATGGTTGAACTAATTTACACTCCCACCAACAGTGTAAAAGCATTCTTATTTCTCCATATTCTTTGCAGGATCTGTTAATTCCTGTCTTTTTAATGATCGCCATTCTAACTGGTGTGAGATGGCATCTCATTGTGGTTTTTGATTTGCATTTCTCTAACGACCAGTGATGATGAGCTTTTTTTCATATGTTTGTTGGCCACATAAGTGTCTTCTTTTGAGAAGTATCTGTTCATATTCTTCACCCGCTTTTTGATGGGATTGTTTGTTTTTTTCTTGTAAATTTGTTTAAGTTCCTTGTAGAGTCTGGATATTAGCCCTTTGTCAGATGGATAGATTGCAAAATTTTTTCTCCCATTCTGTAGGTTGCCTGCTCACTCTGATGGTAGTTTCTTTTGCTTGTGCAGAAGCTCTTTAGTTTAATTAGATCCCATTTGTCAATTTTGTCTTTTGTTGCCGTTGCTTTGGTGTCATGGAGTCTTTGCCCATGCCTATGTCCTAAATGGTATTGCCTAGGTTTTCTTCTAGGGTTTTAATGGTTTTTGGCCTTACATTTAAGTCTTTAATCCATCTTGAGTTAATTTTTGTATAAGGTGTAAGGAAGGGGTACAGTTTCAGTTTTCTGCATATGGCTAGCCAGTTTTCCCAACACTGTTTATTAAATAGGGAATCCTTTCTCCGTTGCTTGTTTTTGTCAGGTTTGTCAAAGATTTTATGGTTGTAGATGTGTGGTGTTATTTCTGAGGCCTCTGCCCTCTTCCATTGGTCTATATATCTGCTTTGGTACAAGTACCATGCTGGTTTGGTTACTGTAGGCTTGTAGTATAGTTTGAAGTCAGGTAGTGTGATGCCTCCAGCTTTGTTCTTTTTGCTTAGTATTGTCTTGGCTATATGGGCTCTTTTTTGGTTCCATATGAAATTTAAAGTAGTTTTTTCTAATTCTGTGAAGAAAGTAAATGGTAACTTGATGGGGATAGCATTGAATCTATAAATTACTTTGGGCAGTGTGGCCATTTTCATGATATTGATTCTTCCTATCCATGAGCATGGAATGTTTTTCCATTTGTTTGTGTCCTCTCTTATTTCCTTAAGCAGTGGTTTGTAATGAGTATGTGATACTCTGTGATATAGAAGTTCCATAATTAATTTAATTTTTTTGTTTGTTTTCTTTTTTTGAGATAGAGTCTCACTCCGTCACCTGAGTTGGAGTGCAGTGGCACGATCTTGGGTCACTGTAGCTTCCACCTCCTGATTTCAAGTGATTCTCATGCCTCAGCCTCCCTAGTAGCTGGACTACAGGCGTGTGCCACCATTCCCGCCTAATTTTTGTAGTTTTAGTAGAGATGGGTTTTGCCATGTTTGCCAGTCTGGTCTCAAACTCCTGGCTTCAAGTGGTCACCTGCCTTGGCCTCCCAAAGTGCTGGGATTACAAGCATGAGCCACTGCACCTGACTAATTTAACTGTTTTCTTATTGATGGACCTTCACTTCATTTCTATTCCTTTGACATTACGTGCTTATGTGTTGAATATATATATATGTGTGTGTGTGTGTGTGTGTTTATTTCTCTAGAATAGACAACCAGGAATGGGATTTCTAGGCCAAAAGATATGCATATTTTTAGTTTTAGTAGATGTTTTCTGTTTGCTTTTCCAAAAAGTCTACATACAGTAATTTACATTTCAAGTGGCAAAATATGCAAGCATGATTCCTTTCATATATTCACTAGCAATAAATGTTAACTTTTAAAAAATAAATGTTGCCAGTATGATCATTATAACTGTTATCTCACTGTTACTTTAATTATAATTTTCTCAATACTTAATGGATTTTATTTTTATATAACCACCATTTGGATTCAGCTTCTTGTGACTTGCTATTTATATTCTTTTCTTATTTTTCTATTCAGTTGATTTTTTTGCTTGTCAGTTTGTAAAATCTTTTTGCATTGTATAGGTATTACCTCTTTGTCATTTACATGGAAAATATTTTTCCCAGTTCTATCATTTACATATTGAAGTATATTTATGACAAACAAAAATTTTGTAAGTTTTGACATAGTTTAAAATGTCTATTATTTCTTTTATAGTTTCTGGGTTTCTGGCCTCAGTTAGCAGGTTATACCCATTCGTAAATTGTATGGGCATTCTCCTAGATTTTCTTTTAGGGTTTTTTTTATTGTAGTAGTAGTGAGAATGGGGTGGAGAAGGACTATAGTGAGTGCAAAGGAATCTAAAGGACTCCAGGACAGGAACTACCTGGATGAAAGAATGGAGTGCAGTCTCTCCCAAAGTCAGCTTGGTTTTGCTCTTTCTCTTTCAGGGCAAAATCAAACAACAACTCATTCCCTCACCAATGGTTCTATACATGATCTGCCGATTAAAAGTCCCAAGGACAGTTCAAACAGTAGTCATGATTTGCAGTTGAGCCTATTTGTTAGATTCTTCCCATCCTCTACATGTAGTTTCTGATCTCTCTTCAGAACACACTTGCCTAATCATGGTTTATCTTGTTCCCTTATAACCGAAGCCTGTTGTGCCTTCTCAGACCTTGTCTATATCTGGAAACTTTCAACACTCTTTTAGCTTTTGCTTCTAAAACTTTTCTGTCTCTCAATTTACTGCTTCACTAATCCTAACTAAACACTCAGAGACCTAACCAATCTTTGCACCCCAGGCTTCTTCATTCAGTTCAGCCAATCCTCAGGGGGTACTAACCCTTGGTCCAAGGGTCATATGGTAGAACACAAGCTTTTGATCAGTTTTTGGGAAGAAAGTGTGAGTTCTCAGGCGTCATAAAACTTCATCTATTTTAAAAAATGCTTCCATAAGTAACAAGGGACATTAGCACTGGGAATGTTAATGGTGGAGTGGAACCAAGGCAATCATTTATCAATATGAGAACTTTAAAATTGAGTCTTTCAGAGCACTCTTTTCTCTATGAGTTTTTTCCTCACTATTATGAACGTGATTTCTTAAAAGACTATTTCCATTTCTCTCTTGGTACTATGTAAAGTATTAATGTCCTAAAAGTGGCTCTAAATCCTTACCTTAGAATTAAAAAATAATTCACTTATCAAAGATGACTTTGAAAATCTCCAGACCAAATTTTGTTTATATGTATATATAAAGCTTTCCATTCAGGGTTTTTCAAAAAGGTCTAGTCTTAAGCTTTGTTTTGAGGAGCCAGGCCAATATACACTGATTTCATATATAGCACATTTGTTTGCTTACTAATTAATTTACCTATCCCATGGCATTTGAAACTTTGCCCTGGAGAAATGTTAGCTTTTGTTTGATACATAAATCGTAACTCATCCTGCAACCTACTTCTTAAAGTTGCCCATCTGACAAGTAAGCACCATCACACGTCATGCCTGCAATTTTGTATGTTCTTGTAACTGTTGTTTGTAAGCTCATGTTTTAACTGTAGGGTTTTTTTGGTTTGATTTTTGCTCTGTTTTATTTTTGTTGTCCCCATAGTTTGTTAGTACACATGGCAAGTCTCTATAGATGTGAAATCTGTCATTGCAACTGAGTTTCAGCTGGCCTGGGGTGTGTCTTAGAACTGCATCCCTTCTCAAGATCCTTTAATGCAATTTTTCATGTATATACTAGAGTCTTAATTTGAATACATTGAATCTCAAACTCATCCTTTGCATATTTTAAGAATATGTACAGCAGTTTTCATTTGACATGGTAATTAGAAAAGTGACAAAAATTTTGTTTTGATGTAAAAATTTTATTCATTTATCAATTATATCCTTTTGCCACAATTACAAATAAAAATTAAGGTAGAATCCGATATTAGTACACATAAAGCAAGGCAAAAAGACACCTACAAATACAACTTTAAAAAGCAGATGAGCATAAGTGCTTTAGGGATCGGTATATATGGTGACTAGATACTCAGATTAGATAAATTCCTAGAAACCAAGGCAAAAAAAAAAATGTTGTATTATGTAACTTTCAGTATGAAAGGATGTATATGCATTTGTGGAAAGGGGTGAACCTTCTCTTGGCATTGGCTTTCAGGTAGAATTTATTATGTGGTTTCTTATATGCAGGACATTTGATAATTTAACAGATGGAGACATTTTAAAGTATAATTATGTAAATAATTAGAAACTTTTTCAAATTTGTTAAATGCTTCTATTTAAAAATATAAGTGGTGGTGGTGGTGGTAGTAGGGACTGGGGGAACGGGAGTGGTGAACATTAACTTTATTCAGAGAAAACATTGCTGTAGAAATCTAAGAAAATATAGGACATTCATGGCATTTCCTGAAGATAATTTTTGTTCTATGAGATGCTAGGTCCATGAGAAGCCCCATTGACAAGCATCTGACATGTTTGAGAAATTTTGCAGATTCTAGAATACACAGGAGCCTTATGTTAAATGAGAAGCTCTGAAAACAAAGAAACTTGACTCTTTTTGTTCAATTTACTGTTTTCCAAACTCGTGGATAAAACATTTTCAAAGAATATTATTTATTTCTGTTAAGATCCTGTGGTGATAGATTTCTCTCTAAGAACCTTTCCAGCTTGAAGAGTGCCTAAATATTTCTGAGAAACAATCACTGATTGGTGCAAATATAGGATGCGAATCCAAAATATGAACACTCATGGCTGACTTTTCTGAAGAGTTCCTGAATGTCATAGCATTGACTAAAATATAAAACATATGCTTTAGTAACTGGACCCATCAGCTATTTAACTGATAATCTCTTGAGAAAATTCAGGTTTCATTTGTGTTCTTTTCCAGAAAGAAGGTCATTCTACAGCTCAACAAGGGAGAGTCACAGGGGTACCTTTAAGAAAGACAGCTTTTCGAAGTAATAGCAGACTCTTCAAGCACTTGGGCATGACAATACAACACTGATCTAGGCTGGAAATATGGCTTTCCTTTTTGCTGGTTGTAGAGATTTGAGCATGTTACTTTACTCGTCTGAATTTTTTTGCCCTGTAGTTAAAATGGAGATAATACGATGTGTCTCTGACAGGATTGTCATGATAATTCAGTGTGGTAAGACTGATCTAAAAGTGTTTACCCTGGGGATGAAAAGGTAGTGGGAGTTACAGACTGTTAGGTCAATTTCATTTTTTATTAGGTTAAAAATCCTGAGATTTTCGCAATAAAATATGAATAAAATGATTATAGTCTGAAAAAATATAGGGATACTTATGGATTATTGGTTCTTTTATTGCATTTTAATAGTATTTTATCAAAAGTTCATACTCTATGGATTTAAAGAAATCCCTAGTAGAATCCACGCTGGCTTCTTTGCAGAAATTGACAAGCAGATCCTGAAATTCATATGGCAATTCAAGGGACCCAGAATAACCAAAACAATCTTGAAAAAGAATGACAACGTTGGATGATTCACACTTCCCAACTTCAAAATTTACTGCAAAGCTGTAATAATTAAGGCTGTTTGATTCTAGCATAAAGATAGACATATAGTTCAATGAAATAGAATTGTGAGTCTAGAAATAAGCCCATGCACCTATGTCCAGCTGATTTTCAACTACAGTGCCAAGGTCAATGGCAAAGAATCAGCAGTCTTTTCAACAAATGGTGTTTGGTGTTTGGACAGCTGGGCATATACATGTAAAATAATAAATATGTACTCACTACTTCACATCATATGAAGAAATTAACTCAAAACGAATCAAAGACCTAAATGTAAGAGCTAATATTATTATACTCTTAGAAAAAATATGAGGCAAAATTTTTATGACCTTAGCTTAGGCAATGGTTTCTTATAAGATTCCCAAAACACAAGCAACAACAGAAACATAAATTGTACTTGATCAAAATTTAAAACTTTAATGCATCCGAGGACGCTATTAAAAAGTGAAAAGACATCTCACAGATTGGGAAGAATTATTTGCAAATCGTACATCTGATAAGGATCTAATATCCGGAATATATGAAGAACTCCTATGACTAAAAAATAAGAAGACAAATAACCCAATTAAAAATGGGCAAAGGATCCGAATAGATATTTCTCCAAAGAAGATAGAAGAGTTGCCAGTAAGCACATGAAAAGATACTTGGCATCATTAGCCATCAGGGAAATAAATCAAAACCACATTGAAATACAACTTCACAACCACTAAAATGGTTGTAATAAAAAAGACAGATAAAAACAAGGATGTGGAGAATCATTTTACATTCCTGGTGGAGAGTAAAGTGATGCATCCCCTTTGCAAGACAGTTTGATGTCTCAAAAGTTTAAACATACAGTTTGATGTCTCAAAAGTTTAAACATAGAGTTACCATTTGAGCTAGCAATTCCACTCTGAGATATATACTAAAGAGAAATGGAAATATATCTCTACACAAAAACCTGTAACAATGTTCATTGCAGTATTAACCACTATGGCCCCAAAGGGGAAACAACCTAATTGTTCATCAACAGATGAATGGAAAAACAAAATGTAGCATATCCATACAATGGAGTATTATTCAGCCATATGAAGAAATGAAGTACTGATACATGCTACAATGTGGATGAACCCTGAAAACATGTTAAGTGAAAGAAGCCAGTCAAAAGCACATAGCATACGATTCAGTCAATAAGAAATGCCCAGAGTATGCAAATCTATAGAGACAGAAAATAGACGAGTAGATGCCTAGCACCAGGTGTTTGGGAGGGGGTGGTCTGGAGTGACTGCTAATGGATATGGGATTTCCTTCTGGGGTGTTGAGAATATTCTAAAATTGATTGTGGTGGTGGTTGCATAACTCTGAATATACTATAACCCATTGAATTGTACACTTTCAATAGGTGAACTTTATGGTATGTGAGTTTTATCTCAAGTTTTTTTTAAAAGCTTATGCTTATCTTTGATACAGTAGGCTACATAGTATCAAAAGGGACACGAGGAACAGCATCTCATAACATCACACGTAGTCAAGAGACCAGTGTTATTTCTAGACATAGTTTTGCCAAATACTTAGTTTGAGACTGAGCAGGTCACTTCTCTTTTCTTCAACAGATACGTTGAACCAAATGTCCTCAAGGTCTTTTCTAAGAATCCTTACTGCTAACTTTGTAGCTTAAAGTGTGCTGGATGTGTTTCCATCTTCCGCCTTGATTTCCCCAGTGGATCACTGTAGTGAGCTAGAGATAGAGACAGACATTGCCTCAGCAGAATGTGTTTTGCTTGCCCTGCGATATGCTTTGTCATCCCTGGCACTCAGATGGTTTTATGTAACAAATGTGCTGTATTTTTCATTACATAAAAATAGACCTTGTATCATTGTGCCCTGGGAGAAAACCCTGCTCTGCCCCCAAGTTTTACTGCTGATTTGCATCAAGCTCTCAAGATGTTCTGCTCTCTACTTCTGGTCTAATTGTCTCCTTTAACATCTGCCTTTTGGAACTAGAGGAAGGGTCACAAGTTTCCTTCCTCCTGGCCCTTGGAAGGCTGCCTCCCTCTGGAAGTTCCAGTCCAAGACATTTCATGATTCATCTTCTGGTCTTTTATCCCACACAGAAAAGGGCTGCTTTGCTCTAGACTGTCATTCCATTTGCTCATATCCATTTCCTGCCAAAGTAACTATTTCCCCCAAAGAAAATAAAAGATGTTCTGAGTTGTTCATTAATTTCTGCATGTGGAATGAATGAGAAATTGATGTGAAGAGCTCAGCAGTAATGAGGTGATGATCAAAATGGGATGGGATGACCCAAAAGCAATCCCTTGCAATGAACAATTAATTATTAAAAATTGGAGCTCAAGTACATTATGTTACCAAATCAATCAGCCTGAACTTACAGTCTCATTAAAATTAGGGAGTTTAAAGCCAATTTATTTAAAACTGATTGATATTTTCCATTTAAAACATATATGAGTTTCTTGTGTTGCAGAGAATTAAGATTTGAATAGTCATATCTTTTACAAGTTATAAATATATGGCTATTAGTAGATCCTTTATGGAAAATTTGCACATATGCATGGCTGTATCTTCCCTTTTCATTTCCAGAAAGCATAAACTAGCTCGCTTATGTTCAAGTCTGAGTCTATTAGTAGCAGGGATATATGAGCATAGAGTGGTTTTTTTCCCCCCAAGATAATCTTTTCTTTCTCTCCCCTGCTCCTGCTGTCCCCGCTGTATTACAAAGGTACAAACATATTTATGAGGAAAATTTGTCTTTCCTCAAAGGTTTGAAGGTCAGAGTCCCTGAAATGAATAAATAATGACTAAATAGTTATTTCACATTTGGCTGATAAACAGAACGATATTCCTTCAGAAGAAAGGAAGAAAAATTATTATACAGGCATTTGAGAAAGACATATATGGTTCAACAGAGAGCTTGTACCTGAAAAATATCTGGAATCAGATATTCTCTTGGCCTTACTCTTTCCTTGTCTTCTCCCTACCCTCAACCCCTTGGCTGGTTTCTCTTTTGATTTAGTACCCATGTGAAAAGCCCCTTCCTTCTTTATGTTCCTTTTAATCCACACAGAATACCAAAAGTAGTTGTCAGAACAGAGATTGTCTGGTAGCAAAAACCACGGTTTATATGCAAATAGCTGCCATAAGAACGCCTTCTGTACATGAAAACCGTACAGAAGCCAATATTCATGGCTTCTGGAAATTGCCTTTATTTTTTCTTGAACTGGATGGAGTCTTGCTCTTCTACAAAAAGCCAACGTCAAAAACGTTCCTATCCTACAATCATAAGGGAGTGAGTTTGAGAATGTTGTACACACACACACACACACACACGGCTTATTTTCAGTTATGCTTTATGTGTTCAGAAACATAGTATTTAATAATGGACAGGATTTGGAATAATGTAGATGTCTTGGGGACCACTTCCAAAGGTTTTCAGCACAGAGATGTTGGAAAGCCTTCACTAAAAAATGCAATCTCCATAAAGGCAGAGATTTTTGTCTGTTTTGGTGACAGCGGTGTTTTCTGTGCCGAGAGAGGTGCTTGACACATAGCAGGCACTCAATAAATATTTGTTAAATGAAAAGGGCAGGTTAAGGCATGGGTCCAGAGAGAAAATCCTAAGACATTTATTTTCAAGTATCTTGGCAATGAGTTGCAACTGGTTCCCTTTAATGCAAAACTCTTGCTTTTAGGAAGCGACTTTTTGAACAAGTAAACAGATTTCTACTAAAACTTAGGAAACTTTTCACCAAATCTACGTCCTATTTCAAGTTTTAAAACTCAAGTGTTTTATTTGTTTATTTTTAGAGTAATTGTAAGAAAAAAGGAAGACAATACTGTTAAAATACCAATCTTCCTGAAATTTATTTATAGGTTCTACACATCCCAGTAAAACCTTTTGTAGAAATTTACAAGCTGATTCTAACATTTATATAAAAGTCAAAGGACCTATAATAGCTAGAACAATTTTTTTAAAAAGAACGATGTTGAAGGATTTACACTGCCTTATGTCAAGACTTATTATAAAGCTATAGAAATGAAGACAGTATAGTATTTGCATAAGGATAGACAGATTTACAGAACAGAATAGAAAGCCCAGAAATAGACCCAAACTTATATGGTCAAGTATGTTTGACAAAGGTGTTATGCCAAAGTGACTTATTGAGGAAAGGAAATTTTTTTCAATCAGTGATGCAGGAATAACTGGATATCCCCATGAAAAGGAAAAGACGTCTGATCTCTACTTCACAATATATACAAAAATAAATTTGAGGTGGACCATAGACATAAATCTATAAGCTAAATCTATAAATTTTCTAAAAGAAAACAAAAAATAATTATCATTGAAGGCTTGGAGTACATAAAAATTCTTAGAACACAGAAAGCACAACCATAAAAGAAAAAAAAAGTTGAATTTCATTAAAACTAAAAACTTTACTCTGTAAAAGACATGATTAAGAGAATGGCAAGACAAGCCACAGAATGGGAGAACATATTTGCAGATCACATATTTTGACCAAAAAACTTCTATCCAGAACATATGAAGAATTTTTTTTTTTTTTTTTGAGATGGAGTCTCGCTGTGTCACCCAGGCTGGAGTGCAGTGCGCGATCTCGGCTCACTGCAAGCTCTGCCTCCTGGGTTCACACCATTCTCCTGCCTCAGCCTCCCGAGTAGCTGGGACTACAGGTGCCCTCCACCATGCCTGGCTAATTTTTTGTATTTTTAGTAGAGATGGGGTTTCACCATGTTGGCCAGAATGGTCTCGATCTCCTGACCTCTTGATCTGCCTGCCTTGGCCTCCCAAAGTGCTGGGATTACAGATGTGAGCCACCGTGCCCGGCCCCACTGGGAATTTTAAATGGTGAACAGTACACCTTGAAATTCTGTTTGGTGATTTCTTATCAGGTTTAATCTACATATATCCATACTATGATCTAGATATTTTCCCAAGAGAAATAAAAACTTATGTCCACAAAGAAACCTGTACAAAAATGTTAATAGCAGCACGTTCATAATAGCCCCAAACTGAAAACAACCAAAATACCCATTGACAGGAGAATGGATAAACAAATTGTGAGATACTCATTTAATGAATACTGCTTAGAAAGAAAAAGGAATAAACTACTGATATATAAAATGATATAGGTGAGTCTCAAAAACAATATGCTAACTGATGATATATAAAATGATATAGGTGAGTCTCAGAAACAATATGCTAACTGATATATAAAATGATATAGGTGAGTCTCAGAAACAACATGCTAACTGAAAGAAGTCGGTCAAAAAAGAACACATGGTTTGATTTTATTTTTGTGAAACTCTAGAACAGAAAAACCACACTGTGAAGAAAGAAAGAAGAACAGTATTTACTTAAAGATAGTGAATACTGCTGGAAGGTGCAGGAAGGCACTTTCTAGAGTGGTAGAAATGCCTTCTAGCTTGCATGGGTTACACAGGTGTATGCATTTGTTAAAACCACGTTAAACTGTATCCTTTAGAACTCTACATTTCACTGTATGTAAATTATACCTCAAATCCAATATAAAACATCATTTTAAAAATACCCACACTTTTTGTCCTAGAAGGTGGATTCTCTTTTCACGTGCAAGAAGATGATGAATATATGAATCATCATAATTTATTACAAAATAATTTGTGGGAGCCATAACATTATAATTATCAAAAGATATTAAATGGGAGATAAAGGTATAATGAAAA
The DNA here is from genome assembly GCF_000001405.40 of Homo sapiens. Classification (NCBI taxonomy): domain Eukaryota; kingdom Metazoa; phylum Chordata; class Mammalia; order Primates; family Hominidae; genus Homo; species Homo sapiens. The sequence goes on from NC_000015.10 coordinate 93,519,631, forward strand.
ATAACTTGTCATCCGATCAGCCTTAAGACCATGTTGACAGTTTTACGGTTTAATCCTAAATTGAGTATGAAAGTCAAGTTTCTAAAGATAAGATATGGAAGAAAAATCTAGTGTTCCAGTAGCTAAATGACTCTTTGTGGAAATGCACATACTTTCTGTGGTTTGTGCATAGCCTCCTAACGTGCTGATATTTTCTTTCACAGAGCAAGGGAGTACTAGTGAGGCCTGAGAAAGACTACAGCCAATGGTAGAATGTCTTTCTTTACCAAAATCATACTATAAAATTTATTTTTACAATAAGAATGTGAGAAGTAAAGTCCTTCAGCAAAAGCCAATGTCTATTAGCTGTAAGATGGCAGCTAAAATGGTGTGGCTTTTTCTTCCTTCCCTATTTAGTATGCTTTCTTGTGCATTGAAATCACTCATACTTTTTTAGTAAGTGCTGTTTATATTCAGTGCTGTGATATTGGCTACTTCTGGGAGGAATATGAAATCCTCTATTTAATAAATGTGCTAAGTTAGAACTTTGAGTCAGGTTGGATTCCCCAAGAGCAGACCTTAGAGTTAAGGCTTCATATGCCTGTGCTTATTCAGGAAGTGCTCACAGGAAAACCCAGATACCTGCAAGACAGTGGGGCAGGGGGAGGCAGGCAGGACAAGGGAGCCCAGCAAGGGTGTGGTCTCAGCCAATGTCCAGAGAGAGAGGAACTTCAGCCTGTCCCTTCCGGGAAACTCTGCAGTGTCAGTTACACAGAGTCATTCCAGGCCACCAGCCTGGCAGCAGGTGTCTTGCATACCCCTGCTCCTGTCTGTCACTCCAGGGTACTCCACCCACTTGAGCAGAGCAGCTCCAGTCGCCTAGGGAGCAGCCCTCTGAGAATGAGTAGAAGACGCTGCTTATTGGAAGCAAAAACATGTTGGAGTCAGGGGGTGTTTAAAAAATGGTAAAGATATGAAGCACCAACTTTATACGTAAGAAGCACTTTACAAGCTCTAGAACATTACCAAATGTTTTGCTACCCTTTTGTCTACCCGTATTTTGATTCATGATATATTTGGATTTGTTTCATCTTGTATGTTTTGCATTCTATTTTCTATTTCCCCTACCTTTATAGTTTCCATTAAACTGGTTGAGTTTTCCTCATTCTTTCTTCCTCTTTCTACTAGTTCTAGAGTTGTGACTTCTGTTCTGTTCTTTCAGTAGTTGCCCCTTGATTCTTTTTAAAATTTTTATTTTTCCAGTTAAGAATCACGTTTCCCAAATTTTACTGATTCAAACAAGGTTATTGCTTGCTCAGGGTTGCCCTTTGATTTTTAACACGCACACCTGACTGACAGGATACCAAGGTATCAATGCCTCAACTGCTCTATTGAGAACATTAGGCTGTTGTACTCTGATCACCCCTTTATAGCTTCTAAGTCACTTTTGTCCAACAATCTGTGGTTCTGCATTTTTTATCCAACAACTAGTAGTTTTATAATTTGCTTTTTTTTACATTCTTTGCTTATTTAGATTTACCAACATGTTTACACGTGTCTTTACTCACCACTGCTCCTTGCAACTGGCTCCGTCTTTCTGGGTTCAATTTTCATGTTACTGAAGTACAACCTTTGGTAGCCTGTCTTTCACTTCTTTGAACAAATATTGATTGTAGTGGGGAAGAAGACAGAAAAAGTTCCGCTTTCATGGGACTTTCAATGAGAAGAGTTTGTGGGAGGTAAACTCTGTCCACAGTGTCTTCATTGCATCCTCATGCTTGAACGGTAGTTCATGGTATCCCATCTGGATTGACCATATCTTCCCTCACCATGTGGAAGATACAGTCATGCACCAAATAACAATGTTTTGGTCAGTGATGGATTGTGTAGACAGCAATGGTCCCTTCAGATTATATTTTTACTATATTTTTTCCATGTTTAGGTATGTTTAGATACACAAATATTTCCCATTGTGTTACAATTGCCTACAGTACAGTAACATGCTATAGAGGTTTGTTGCCTGGGAGTAATAGGCTATACCATGTAACCTAGGTATGTAGTAGGCTATACCATCTAGGTTTGTGTAAGTGCATGCTATGATGTTTGCACAGTGATAAAATTGCCTACAGACACATTTCTTAGAATATATCTCCATCCTTAAGTGCCACATGATACATGACTGTATTATGTCTCTAGATGGGTCCTGTGGTGGAATCAGGTGGGCTGTTTTTTTTTGAGACAGAGTTTTGCTCCTGTTGCCCAGGCTGGAGTGCAATGGCATGATCTCAGCTCACCGCAACCTCCACCTCCTGGGTACAAGAGATTCTCCTGCCTCAGCCTCCCAAGTAGCTGGGATTACAGCCATGCACCACCATGTCTGGCTAATTTTTGTATTTTTAGTAGAAACGGGGTTTCTTCATGTTGGTCAGGCTGGTCTCTAACTCCTGACCTCACGTGATCCACCGCTTTGGCCTATCAAAGTGCTGGGATTACAGGCATGAGCCACCACGCCCAGCCCCTTTCTGTCTACTCTGATCTCCTGGAGCTCCTATTAGACAAATGCCTGTTTTTGCTTGTATAAATGCCAATACATCTTATAGCCCAGGGACAAAGTCAGCCCATGCCTTCAAAGAAACATGAGTTCTCAAACAAAAACCTTATTCGAGCTGCACAATAAAATAGTGAGCGGGAGCTGCAGACATTCTAGCTCAGCCCACCTGATGCCTTTGATTCTCTCATGTAGTTTCCCTCTGGCTCTCACAGTCTGCTCCCTTCCAGGAGTAGCTGAATTTTTGACAAGCCCAGTCTTCTATTTCTGGTTTTGGACAGGTTTATATTTCGAACTTGGGACATTTAAGTTTGTTGGTTTTATTCCCTGTAGCTAGTCCTGCTCCTGCATGAGGTGCAGTAGCTCCGCTGAAGCGTTCCACCTCCTGGGACTCTCAGAGCTGCCATAGGCTCTGCTGCTGGGGTGAGGGAGACCTCTCTGGCTCTCTGTCGTGCACATGGAGCCACCAAGGCCAAATGACTCTGGCTATTTTTTAAAGACTACAATGGTAGGTACCTGTCATTATACATTTGCCCAAACTCATAGAACGTACAACATCAAGAGTGAGCCCTAATGTGAATGATGGGGTCTGGGTGATAATGATGTGTCAAACCAGGTTCATCACACATAACAAATGTACCACTTTGGTGGCAAATGTTCACAATGGGGAGTCTGTGCATGTGTGGGTGGGGGCCGGGGGTATATGAGAACTATCTGAACCTTCTGCTTAACTTTTCTGTGAACCTGAAACTACTCTAAAAAATAAAGTCTATTAAAAGAAAGATTATACACACACATTGCACATACACACAGACAAACACAATTTTTTTTTGAAAGGGAACTAGGAATACACAGTTTTCCTTAGGTTTTAAGAATCACTCATGCTTTTGCTGTGTGTGTATATATGTTTGTGTGTTTGTGTAATGTGTATACATATGCAATGTGTGTGTATAAAGTATATGTAAGTACTGTATATAATTGCACACACATTTCTCTCTATATATCTCTAATATATATATGTGTGTGTGTATATATATATGTGTGTGTGTGTGTGTGTGTGTATATATATATATATATATATTTTACTTCTGTGGTCAAATTCCAAGAAAAGCTCTTCATTGGGTGATTAGGTGACCATATGTTTCAAATGGAAATAAGAAACTGGTAATCAATTAAGTGCAAACTACCATTCCAAAGCCAGAGAAATAAGGGGAAAATGGCAAATAATGATAAAGGCATCTTTCCCCTAGTTAGTTTTTCTGGAAGGTCATCAGATTAAAACAAACAAAAGCAAAGCAGGCAGAGAGTCCCCTCTTCTCCCCCCATCCCATTGGGCATGCTGTGTAGATTAGGAAGAGCTGCTAGAAATCATCTCGGAGAACATTCCAAATACTTGAGACTTGTCAGGGCTCTCTTCCAGAAGGGGAGCAAAAGCCCTCATAATAAGCTGCTGACTGGACCTTTATGGCTGGGAAACACTGTAACCCTGTAATTTGGCTCGTGAAGGCCACATTCTTCTTTGGAGTACAAGCCACTGGTCAATTATTGCGGTTGGTGAGCTTTCCTTTTGGGCATGAGTCAGGGCCAATTTTACATGAAAGAAGGGTTTTCCTTCTGGCACCGACTCACTATAATTACGGAATCGTATCGTGGCATTGCTGGAAATGGTATTCTCCAGGAGCTCCCAGGGGTGCTGTGGGGTTACCCATGGGGCACCATGTGCTGGAAACATTTTCCACAGCTGCGCCCAGCATCTCCTGATCGTGGCGTTCTTTGAACTTTTCTCGTCTTATAAGATTTAGGATTCTAGGGTCATAAATCACCTTTTACTAAACGCTTGGCTGTGATTATTTACTCATCCTTGGAATCAAAGACTACTCTGGACTAAGTTATCTTTGTCTCTTCTTCCCTCTTACAAAAAGCCTCCCTTCCCCTCCATCTCCCCTTCTCTACTTTCTTCCCTCCCTTCTCCCTTCCTTTTTCCTGTAATTATTGGTAACCTGTTATATGAAGACGCTCTACAAAGCTACATGACACTCATGCTGTACATTTAGGGCAGTTTTTACACCTGCTTTCATGGGAGTTTCATGACTACCTGGGGAAAAAGGGAAGAATATCATCTCCAGAGGGGCAGTGTTACTCTCAGAGAGAAGATGGGTTTGGGAGGCGTGTGGAGGCTCCACACGTACTATATATATATGACCTGGACAAATGAGTCCACCTGCTTAAGCCTCAGTTGCCACATTTATAAATTAGCAATAATAACATTACTCTCATAGGGTTCCTTGAAAAATTGGAAGAGATACTTCAAATAAAGTGTCTTGCGTATTGCTTAACACATACAAGGACGTAGTGCATTTTTATGTTTGTTTTATTATTAGTCTGCATTGGGATTTAATGAAACTGAGCCTCAGAGAGGGGAAGTGACTTGCCAAAGGACACAAAGGTAACAAGAAGCAGAGCCAGCACTGACGCTGTGGACTTTGGACTCCGGCCACCATCCACCTGCTCTTGATGTAGGATCGAGATGCTGCCCTCTCACACAAGGGGGGAGTGGGTGGGACAGACACTGCTGTTCCCTGTACATCCTTTCTTCAAAATCCCTCCATGAAGTTAGCCTCTTCCTTGTATGTGACGAGTTGAAAGGGAATCCATGGCTGGGTGTAGTGGCTCACGCCTGTAATCCTACCACTTTGGGAGGCCGAGGCGGGCGGATCACGAGGTCAGGAGATCAAGACCATTCTGGCTAACACGGTGAAATCCCATCTCTACTAAAAAATACAAAAAAAATATTAGCCAGGCGTAGTGGCGGGCATCTGTAGTCCCAGCTACTTGGGAGGCCGAGGCAAGAGAATTGCTTGAACCCGGGAGGTGGAGCTTGCAGTGAGCCGAGATTCCACCACTGCACTCCAGCCTGGGAGACAGAGCGACTCCGTCTCTACAGAAAAAAGAAAAAGGTAATCCGTTCCTCTGTTTTGTGTCTGGGTTTTGGTGACTTACTGTACACGAAACCCTTTTCAGTCTTTGGGTAAAATGCTGCTGAGTGTAGTGATTCTGGAATGATGAGAGAACCCACGGCAGGTACTGTGGCAGATAGGAGCTGACACCTGCAACTCGGAATTGCCATGCTCAAGGAGGTGCGCCAGGACACCAATCTGTTTGAACAAGTGGATAATGAAACGATGCTGATTTATTTATATGCCTTACTGCTGCCTCTTCCTCAGTTGTTTGAGGTGTATCAAAGATTTTTACTCAAGATTTTACCTAAATACCAACAAAGTACATGGCAACTGACTATACATCTTTTCTCTCCTGAACAGAAGTCAGATAAACATTAATAACAAAAGTGATTTATTGCAGGCTTTCTGCTTGGATGATAACAAATAGAAAGTAACTTAAAAGCAGAGCTAGAAACTTTATATTGCATGGTTTGAAATTGCTGCTTTGAAATACTGTATTTGGAGAGGCATCTGGTAGTCCCCAGCAGTAATGCTACCCACTGTGTGCCAGCACCATTTCTACCTGTGGTGTGTCTACTTTAGATGTTGTGGGAGGTAAGAAAGTGTCTTCTGTATTTGAAAATGCTAGAATTACCCACTGCTTGAACTAAGTTTGATCTGTTTGCAATCAAAAAGAAAAATCTCCAGGCACATTATTTTAGCACAAAAAACGTTGACAAACTGCTTTGGAGATTGTCTCTTTTGTACCTGGCTGTAATTTGAAAGCTCTCCCGATTATAGTCCCTGAGTTAGGTCATCAGAGTTTTATCTTATTCTACCTATCCCTCCTCTCCCCTACCCCCTGACACACTCTCTGGCAACTTCCTTTGACTTCAAGAGGTAATGGTCCTCAACCTTTCTGTAAAAGCAATATTGAGAGCAGGAACACCATGCTGTTTCAAAAGGCATTTTTTTCATGATGACTTAGAAAGGTGTAGAAAAAAAAATAACCTGGTGGTACATTTGAGATTTGGAATGAATCCCTTCTATTTTTGTTTACTCTGGAAGAGACACTTAGGGTTTCTGTTTAGTGAAAAGATAAAGAACTGAAAGTCATGTAAAGCCTAATGGATCCTCACAATCATACTGGCCGTGGGTATTAAGTTGTTCAATTGGGACATTTTGAGCCACATTAAAGTTTGTTCTTGTACCAAATAATATAAGTAGAGAAACTGAGGATGTTTCCTGGAATTCTTAGTCACTAGATCATATAAAAACTACCAAAATGCAGTTACAGGAAGGCATATTTACCTGTTCAATCATTCCCTACACATTTCCTTGAGTAATTTGAAAAATAAGGTCAATTAAATTGGACTATAAAAATCAGAGTCAAGAAAGCAGAAAAAAGTCATACGTTAGTGTGAATATGGTCATTATCACATAGAAAATTTTCTTTAAGCTTCTTGATAGCTGAGTGTGGTAGGGCATTGCCCCTTTTTATAGATGAGGAAAATGATTCACAGAAGAGGAAATAAAATTCCAGTATTTATTACTTTCTAAGTGGCAGGGTATTTTCTTTTCTTTCTTTTTTCTTTTTTCTTTTTTTTTGAGCTGGAGTCTTGCTCTGTCTCCCAGGCTGGAGTGCAGTGGCACGAACTCAGCTCACTGAAACCTCCACCTCCCGGGTTTGAGCAATTCTCTTACCTCAGCCTCCCGAGTAGCTGGGATTACCGATGCGTGCCACTACACCCAGCTAATTTTTGTATTTTTAGTAGAGATGGGGTTTCACCATGTTGGCCAGGCTTATCTCGAACTCGTGACCTCAGGTGATTAGTAAGTGGCAGCATATTGAAGCAAATCTACAAGTGATTTCAGAGAGCAAGCTTATGACCACTACTATAAATGTGCTATGTCCTCAGGCAAAGCTTTTCTTGTCACTAAATACTAGAGTATTCTAGTATTCTCACTTGTCCCTACAATCAATTCTCACTTGTCCCTACAGTCAACTTGGAATTTAATCACAAGCTGAACTGGCTCTTAACAAACTATTTTTAAAATGTGTCTGTGTTTTGTTCACCTATGTAACAAACCTGCACATTTTACACATGTACTCCAGAACTTAAAAGTTGATGAAAAAAAGTGTCTTTGTTTATGTACTCGTGTATGTGTGTGTCTCTCTGTGTGTGTGTGTGTGTATATATATATACACACATATATATATGTGTATGTATATTTTATAAGTTGCAAACCAGAAAATAGTACCCCAATTCCTTAAACAGTGGACTGATGAGTAGAGCCAATGTTTAGTTTCAGTGCAAAAGCCTGCAGGCTCAAAACCTACAAAAACTCGATGTCTCAGTCCAAGTCTGAGGCTGGAAAAGACCAATGTCCCAGTTCAAAGCAGTCAGGCAGGAGGAGTTCCCTCTTAGCCTCTTTGTTCTCTTCTGGTGTTCAATTGTTTACATGAGGCTGGTCCATTCACATTAGGGAGGGCCATCTGCTTTACTCAGTCTATGAATTCAAACATCAATCTCATCTCCAGACACTCTCACTGACATACCCAGAATGAGGTTTGACAAAGTGTCTAGGCAGCAGACAAGTTGAAACATGAAATTAACTATCACAAATTTATGGACTGAAGGTTTGTCCCCCACCCCCACATTTGTATGTTGAAATCTTAACCTCAATGTGATGGTATTTGGAGATGGGCCTTTGGAAAGTAATTAGGTTTAGAGGACGTCATAAGGTTGGGCCTTCAAGATGGGATTAGTCCCCCTAGAAGAAGAAACACCAGAGAGCTAGCTCTCTCTCTCTCTCTGCTTTTTGAAAACATGGTGAAAATGTAGCTGTCTGCAAGCCAGGAAAAGAGCTCCGACCAGAACTCAACAATGCCAGCATGTGGATCTTGGACTTCCAGCTTCCAGAATTACGAGAAAATAAATTTCTGTTGCGTGAGCCACCCAGTCTATGGTATTTTGTTATAGTAGCTTGAGCTGACAAGACTATCTATATATATAAAACCTGATAATGTGAAATAAACAAACAGGTTACTTTTTTATTTTTTTTTTCCAGGTTGGAAGGAATCTCAATAAGTAGCTGTTCAGGGCTCAAGAAAGACAACCCTCTCCAGGAATGTCTTTATTATTGGCAATACCTGAGTTATATAATCATCCTGACCTGCAAGGGAGGCTGGGCATTTGAATATTTTACATTATAATGTCTAGAAAAGGGGGTTTTGGATGCCTGTTAAGTGAGATAACACACAATATCTGCCATGATATCAGTGAAAGAATCGGAACTAGAAGAGCTAAACAAAATCTAAAATCTCTAGGTTTCAATGAAAAAGGTACATTGATTTGGTTTTTGTTCCCTCCCTGTTTGGTACTTGAGTAGGAAAGAAACAGAATATTAGGTAAGAATCATTTGGACAGATTTATCCTTTCTTGCAGATACAGAATTAATTAATATGTTTTACTGAACACTTGGTATATTTCTGTATGAAATCCAGTGTTTTGCATGAGGCATTGGTAGCCATTCTCTCTGGCTGTTTGTCTTGAATAAACAAAGCACCTTTATTTCAGTAAAGCATCTGTCAGGGTATAAGTTGTATTCAACTAGATTTAAAGGCCAACTATGTACAGTTTAGTCTGGATCTTAAAGGGTGATGCTTTCATGCTAGAGCCTCCTGTTTACCTTCTAAATTGAGCTCTTTTAACCCCTGTTTTTCTCTACCTAATTATCTTAAGTGGAAGATGTTCTTGATTTTACTCACATTCTGTCCCCGTGCTGGAATCGACCCACCTCTATTGCAGTGTCCCTATCACTTTGCCCAGCTCTTCCTAGTTCAAGCTGCTCCACGCCCAGCATGGACCATTCCCAGGTGGTGAGCCCCAGGCTTCTGTTGGCCTCTCTCCTTGACCTGCTCTACAGATGACCACTAATCCATCTAGACTCAGGCCTACCCTCTTCTAATCAGGTTACTCCCAAGCATTTTCCTACCTACACTAACTCCCGGGCTTTCACAGACTTCTGTGTCTCCCTTGTTCAATTTCTCATTAGCCAACTCCCTGGCTCACTCCTTCCACATTTGCATGACACCTCGATTTATTTGGGGAACATCTGCCAGGGGTAGAGTGGGAAGGAAACTTTTGGAGGAAGTCTGCAATGTAGTGTTTGCTTCTCAGCATAACAAAGACAAGTCCTGAAGGTGAAGTGCAAAGATAGACTATTCCATTTTGTAAAAACAACTCTTTATGCCTGCCGGTAATTATTGATTAGAGACCAGATGTTTGCCAACATCGCTGTTATAGCTCTGGTTCTGTGTGGATGTGGAATTTGATCAGCTTTAAAACATCAGTTTCAATAGACATGATTTTAGATGGTGGCACTTGGGATAATTTAAAGTCAACAGAAAAGAAGTTCTACTGGGAGGGGGGAAGAGGCAGGGCACTCATTCTTTGAACAAATTTCTCCTTTCTGCAAAAGGTATCTGTCCTGAAGCCAATTCAATCATAGCTCTGCGAGGTAGCTTATTAGCTAATTCAGTTCAGAATCACTTATGTAAATAAACTGATTCCAGACAATTAGGCTGTCCATTGAGAAGCTTATTTGTTAATTTATGAAGCTGTTACTTAGCTTCCATGCTTGTTAATCCCCTCTTCTTTCTACTTCAATGAGGATAAGATACTTGCACCTTCTAGATAAGTGTCCTTAAATTGGGGTGCATGAACTTTCTGAAGCTTTACATACAACTGAGATGCTGCCCAGCATCAGGCACACTGCAGATGTCCCCAATAGACGTTTGTTAAATGAATGACTGTGTGAATGAATGAAAGCTTGGTTTGTCATGAGACCACAGGGCAGCATAATTTCAGAAAATACATTCATGTACTTTTAAAAGTACCTGCCTCATTTCTGTGATCCAATGCCTGAAAATATGTCACCATTTTAATGTTTGTTACTCAGACTATTCTATACACTATTAATTGAAATCTAAGAGGTAGACCCTGTTTAAACTGGCAGAGGACTGCTTTTTGCTCATTGCTAGAAGCTGTAATTTATATTTACAAATTTCTTGAATGAGGAGAGGGAGAATTGTATCTTACTATTTCTGTTCTTCCTCTTCCTCGTTCCACCATAGCTTTGAATGATGCATTGGCCCACGTGGACCACCTTCCATTTCCCAAGACTTTTTGAAGGCAATGAATGAGAAGAAAGCAGAGAAAACAGTGGGCGTGAGGTCAGATGACTCAGGCTTGAGTACTGATCACATCAAGGATTGGACGCACTGCTCTTAGGAAGGCACAACTTCTACTACTTTCAGTCTTATCAACTGTGAGAGGTAATAATGATACCTGGAGATTATCTTGTTCTGAAGAACGAACATTATGAGTTTTATCATTATTAGCAAAAACTTGCCAGTACCAGGAATTGCTGCAGATGACTGAGGAAAGGTTTCTAGCCAGCTCTCAGAGGGAAGTGACTTGCTTGCAGCAAGGCTTCTTTCTTACCTGCAGTGTAAGTTGAGTTCAGACAATGGTGGTCTTGCATGCTGCAGACACATAGTCATGTCCTGTGCTTGCCCTGTGTGGCAGGGAACAGCAGCTCCTTTGCAGAAGGAATGGGCCACTGCAGAAGTTCATGTGCTCCCAATTTTTCTATGACATCCACTTGACTTTCTGTGTCCTCTTTGCTATTTTCATGCTATCATGCTACTTCATGGCCAGTGCAGCTTAAGAAACATTTACTAAGGACTGGGAGAAAATCAGAAATATTTATGACTTAAGCACTGCCACTGAGTTGCTTCCATTTCTAGAAGGAGACACCAGTCAAACACAGTTCTATTCATGGCCAGGTGAAAAAGGGAAACATGATAACAGGAAAATTATAAAATAATTCTAGAAGAAAGAATACTTATTTTTCAGTGGAGAATTCAAAGAGAAGGTGCAAGGTCTTAGAACTAGGTGTTGAAAGATGAGCAGTCTTTTGTCAGGCTGAGATGAGAGGGAAGAGCGTTAGAGGTTGAGGGAACATCATGAACAAAGGCATAAAAATAGAAAGAACCTGTGAGACCTGGGAATTAACAATGGTAGTTTGATAGTGGAGCCGATCTGGGGAAAGGCTTAAAAAATATACTGAATAGAGTTTGAGACTAGGTTGTAAATGGTTTTCAATGCAAGTTAATAAAATTCATGATTTATTTATCTTGAAGTAATTTATAAAGTACAGATAAAAGGTAAAAGGCAGCTCTTCCCTCCAGCATTTGTGCAATACTTATTAATGTTTTGGTGTACTTCCTTCCAGTCTTTTTTCTTCACATTTACAGATTACTCTCCTTTCCTTATCCAACGTTATCTACTAAGCTTTACCGTATGCTGCAACATCAGCTTCACAATCAGCATAGTTATATAAAAGTCTATCTAGTGTTGAGTATATAAAGCAGGCTCATTGTTTCCAAGATGAAGACTTGGCAAGGCTGCAGGTAAGATTTATTTGAAGGAGCCAGTCATTTTGATTTTCCATGGTAAGAACCTATGGAGAAAAACAGTCATTGGGATTTTTTTTTTTTTTACTAGAAATCATATCACAGGTATATCTAAGAAACAAGGGGTGCCAACTTCCTGGTAGGTGCTGCAATGGTATTTGGTCGGATTTTATCTACCACTCTGTGATCTCTGGAGATTCTATATTGTGCTGCATCTATCCAAGGCTTCCTTTACAGGGTAACTACACATTTACCCAGAAAAGGGGAGACAGAATGGGCAGAGAGTTTATGTAGCCAGGAAATCAATCTTTATGGAAAATTCCTCTACTATATGCATTCATTTAAAAAAATGCATGGAAAGGGTTAGGCAATGGTTTCTTAGACATAACACTAAAAACACAAAAAGACAAAGAGAAATATAAATAAATTGGGTATCTTCAAAATGAAAAAACATTTGTGTTTCAAAGGACACTGTCAAGAAAGTGAAAGAACAACTCACACAGAACAGAATATGGTAGTCCCCCCTTATCCAGTTTTGCCTTCCCCAGTTTCAGTTACTAGCGGTAAAACACAGTTAGAAAATATTAGACAAAAACTCCAGAAATAGGTCGGGCTTGGTGGCTCACTCCTGTAATCCCAGCACTTTGGGAGGCTGGGGCGGGTGGATCACCTGAGGTCAGGAGTTTGAGACCAGCCTAGCCAACATGGTGAAACCCCGTCTCTACTAAAAATACAAAACATTAGCTGGGCGTGCTGGTGGGCACCTATAATCCCAGCTACTGGGGAGGCTGAGGCAGGAGAATCGCTTGAACCCGGGAGGGGGAGGTTGCAGTGAGCCAAGATCGCATCATTGCATTCCAGCCTGGGCAATAAGAGTGAAACTCCGTCTCAAAACAAACAAACAAACAAAGAAACATTAGCCAGGTGGTGGTGGCAGGTGCCTGTAATCCCAGCTATTTGGGACTGAGGCCAGAAAATCACTTCACCGTGGGTAGATGGAGGTTGCGGTGAGCCAAGATCGCACCACTGCACTCCAGTCTGGGTGACAGAGCAATACTCTGTCTCAAAAAAAAAAAAAATAAAATAAAATAAAAATAAATCCAGAAATAAACAATTCACACATTTTAAAATGTGTGCTCTTCTGAGTAGTGTGATGAAATCTCACACTGCTTGGCTCCGTCCCTTTGTCCAGTGTACCCTTGCTGTAGATGCCACCCGCCCAGCAGTCCTCATCATCTTGGCCCAGGATCACCTGAAACAGATGATCCTCCTTTTGAGCTACCATCAGAAGGTCCACAGTACTAGCCCAGCGCTACATCCCAATGCCTACGCCATTCATCTCACCTCATCTCATCACGTAGACATTTCATCATGTCACATCATCACAAGAAGGGTGAGTAAGGTCCAGTGAGATATTTCGAGAGAGACAGAGACCATATTCACATAACTATTATTACAATATATTGTGGTAGTTGTTCTATTTTATTAATACTTATTGCTAATTTCTTACTGTGCCTAATTTATAAATTAAACTTTATCACGACTATGCTTATATAGGAAAATCATAGTATATACATGGTTCCATACTATGCAGTTTCGTGCCTTCACCGGGAGGCTTGGACCATATTCCTCTCGGGTAAGGGGAGACTACTATACTAATGAGAATCAATTTCTAAATGTTTCAATTAGTTGTATTTCTTTTTTTTTCCAAAATTTTATTGTGCCTGTTATAGTTGGGTGTTTTTCTCATTCCATTACATAAACTTTCTGTAAGTTAAAGCGCGAACATATTGTTACATTTGATACGATTTCTTTTCCAAGGCTATCCTTTTATATTTTGTCATATATACATTTAAAATTTTTTCATACAAAATCTGTTCATCTCTTCCCTCGTGATTGCTTCTTTCTCCTGTAGGCTAGGACATTTTCCATCTCCAGAGGTCTGCTAGATATCATATACAATTTTCTTCTTTTATTTTTCATGGGGTTTTAAGTTTTACCTTTAACTTTCACATTTAACAACTATTTACTCACTGTCAACTACGTGCTTGGTATATTCCTAGTATTTATTTAGGTTCAAGGTGTAATGTTAAGGATAGTAATTTGGAAAAATTATTATCAAACTACCATTGTTAATTCTCAGGTCTCACAGGTTCTTTCTATTATTATCGCTAACCGTTCTTCTATGTTACTATATGACTCTTCTGTTCCATTTTGCTGTCTGTCTAGTTTCTGGCAGTATTATATGCCTTTCATACTACATTTTTATAATATGCATTAATATCTGATGATAAGATTGTTCCCCCATAATTATACATTTTCAAAATTGTGTTTCATCTGTGACCTGTTTCCTCCAGGTGACATTCAGAGCACTTTGTCAGGTTAAAAAGAAACATGCTGAGATTTGGGTTAGATTTATATGAAACATAAATTGTTTTGGGAAAATTGGTACGTTCAAAACATGCTGCTGCTCATCTCAGATTATGATGCTGCTTTTCACTTATTCAAGTTTTCATGACTTTCAGTAAAATATTGATTTACTCAAATAGATCACAGGTGTCTCTCATTAAAATTATTCCTTATAATCGCATTTCTGAAGATATTGTGGATTAGAGTTTTTTTCATTATAACTTCAGTTACTGTATGAGAATTTCTTTTTCTCCTTTCTCTTTCTCTCTCTGTGTGTGTGTGTGTGTGTGTGTGTGTGTGTACACACATCTTTCATCAGGCTACCTATCAAACATTTGTTAATTAAAATAATTTCCGAGCTTATTCTCTTGGGTTATCTAACTATGAAATAATACTTTCAGACATTTTTTATCATTTATTTTTTAACATGTATCTTATTGCTATCTTATTTTTGCTTTCAGTGAGTAGAATTTCTAGAATATGAATAATAGTAAAACTGGATATATTTATTTTATTTCTATTTTAACATGAATATGACTTTTAGATCAAAATAGATGGCTTTTATTATGGTAAAACAGTTTTCCTCTATTCTTCTATTTTAGTATTTTATCAAAGTACATTATTTTTGAATTTTTTTCTTCTTTAATCCACTTATACTAAGAATCATGTATCCTTTGAACATATTTCTTCTTCTTTAATCTACTTATGTCAGATATTGTATTAATACATGTCCTTATCTACTTACAGGACTCTTCCCTGAAAAAAAAAAAAAGCTTGGAAAGTGTAGGTCATGATAAAAAATGTTCTCATACTGAACCACCCTAGAACTGGAAGTCATTAACGCCAGAATGTGTGTTCCTAGGTCCTGCTGCTCATCAGGGCCGCCATATTGAAAGTAAATCTGTAGCTTTCAACTCAACTCTAACCAGAGCAAGGGACTCCTTTTGAGGAGCCTGTAGGTCAGGGGCTGCCCTCAGAGGTCTGAGTTGCTCCAGGAACAATTCTCAATTCTCAAACCTGTCCTTGTGATACTGGTCCTAAGTGGTTCAGTTGTGGCACCCAGGGGCAACCCGTTACAGTTCTTCCTTCAAGCCTGGAAATGATCTTAGAGAATGGAGAGAACTTGAGGATTCCTTGGCTTTACTGTAAATGGTTACCTGAGGTGCTCCAACTAGCATGATTTTCCCAGTTGGACTCCATGCACCTTATACAGTGGCTTGCTTCAAGTGTGAATGCATAATTAAAGGGTTTTGGTGTTTGTATTTTCTCCCTCTCTCTGGGGCATACCTCTCCATATTCTCCTTTATCTGTTTCAATATTGGACACCTTCCTGCCAAGATGGCTGGATTGCTGGTCATGTGACCACATAATACTCCAAATGTTGAAACGTACAAGATTTTCCTAATCCCCACTGCTACTCTTGAAACAGTTCAGTGGCACACTTTCAACCATGGCCAAATTTCAGAATCACCTGAGGATCCTCTTAAAAATGGTGACACTCAGGCCCTACTGTGCACCAGTGAAATCAGTGTAGTGCCCACCCCTCCCCACAGGGCTGGCTGTGTGTGATGAGGTGTCAGCCACAGCCTTCAACACTTGGTTGGTGGCCCCTCAAGACCTGTGTGTCCAGGGAGGCTGGTCATCTCAGACACGATTGCCACTTCTTTTCTCTTCCCCTCTCAGGATAACTCTGACTTCTTCAGGTACTTCAACTGTGGGAGTGTTTGTTGTTAGTTGGTTTGTTTAATTTGTTGCCTTAGGGGCAGAGAAATGAGTTAGTGGTTCTTCTTAGTTCACAGCATATTATTATCCCGGTTTGTGGCAATTCAGGCTCCTTCTCCACCCACTTTTTCCCAAGGACATACCATGACTTTTGTGGGCCCTAGTCACTTTTGTTTGTGTGGGTCTTTCTCGCTATGATAGATTTTTGTGTTTCCTTAAAATTTCGTTTTTTTCCTGATGTGTGAAAAACAAATTAAAACTTTTTCATCAACCCAAAGAGTTCTTAGTTTCATTTTGATTTTAAAAGAAACTTAAATATTTTATGACTCCTTAAAAAGTACCTTGGACCTAAGGCATTGTGTTTACTGGACCAACAGATGAGTTAGCCCTGCCTCTACCTTCCTGCTTTCTCCTTTATCTCTATACCCTGCTGCCATTCTCTTCTCCTAGCCAAAGAGGTACATCTCCCCTTGTTCTGGATCTGTTTCTTTATATATATTCTTGCATAATGTGTATTTGTATATTGTTTTATGTATTTAAAAAATTAAAAAAATGTTAGAACAGTTTTAGATTGATAGATTTTAGATTGAAGATTGCAAAGATATTAGATAATTTCTAAATATCCTACATCTATTTGCCCTATTAACATATTACCTTGGTGTGATACATCAGACACAATTAATCATCCATTATTGATACATTATTAACTAAAATCCATAATGCATTCAATATCCTTATTTTTAAAAATAGGATGTACCTTTTCTGTTTAAGGATTCCATCCAAGATACTACACTGAATGTAGTTATCATGCCTCCTTAGACTCCCCTTGGTTCTGACAATTTCTTAGACTGTTTTTAATGACTTTGACAGTTTCAAGGAGCACTGGTTAAGTACTTTGTAGAATGTCCTTCAAATGAGATTTATCGGATGTTTTTCTCATGATTAGATTGGAGTTACAGTTTTAGGGAGGAAGATGACAGAGGTAAAGTCATTCTCATTACATCACATCAAGGGTCCACACCATCACATAACTTGTCACTGTTGATGTTAACCTTGATTCCTGCCTGAGGTAGCATTTGGTTTCTTCACTATCAAGTTACTCTCTCCCCACCTCCACTTACTTCCAGACTGTAGTCTTTGAAGACAAGTCATTCTGTACAGCCCACACTTAAGGAATGAGAAGTTGTGCTCCCTTTCCTTGAGGGTGGAGTAGCTACAAAATTATTTGGAATTCTTTTCAGGAGAGATTTGTCTCTTCTCCTCACCTTTATTTATTTGTTTAATCATTTATTTATAACATGGATATTTGTATTGTACCTGAGTAATAATCCAATACCACTTTATCTTATTTCTCAAATTGTTTCAGCTTTGGCCTCTGGGAATGCTTTCAGCTGGCTTCTTGTCCTTTTAATATACCACCATCTCTCTCTCTCTCTCTCTTTCTTTCTCCCTGTCTGTCTCTTTAACACTTCCTTCCTTCTGGAACTACAAGATGCTCCAAGTTCATTTTGTAGATTCCCTGCTCCTATCCTAGAATCAGCCGTTTTTATACGGATTCCTGTTTTGTTTTGTTTTGTTTTAAATTGAGAATAGTATTAAAAACCAAAATCTTGGCCCTATGTGTATGTGTTGTTCCTGGGCTGTTGTTCCTTCTAGGCCCTCTCAGTTGGCAAAGCAAGGAAATACATATGTGTATGGATTTACACACATTTAATATTTTTGTAAATATGTAAATATAAACGTTATATATATTATGTATATGTAACCATCTATATCTCTATTAACCTCAATATGTGCTCTACTCAACTGATGTCTCCAACTACAATCTGCTATTATATGGATCATTCAGGTTGCCTTCTCTTGTCTATAACCTCCCACTTAATGATGAGAAACCTGGCCTCTACCATCTACTCTTTACTTATTTAACTGTCCTATTCCAATATACCTGTATTGCAGTATCACAATTATTAATAAGCACTCCCATGGAAAACAACTTTATCAACTAGAGTACAGTGTTCATATACGGTTCCTTTTTGCCGTTAACCTTGCAGGCTTCATTTCCAAAGTTACTTAGGTCAGTACCTTTTTCTCCCGATCCCTTCAGGGAGATTCTTTAATCGTCTCATAACATGGTTAGCATTCTTTGTCACAGTGTGCATTCTATCCTGGGATGCCATGATGTACTAAAGCATTTTCCTGATTTGTAAACATTAAGGTTCTCTCTTTGTGCTGTAAAGTTCTATACAAATGTGTAGTGTCTTTTATCCACTGTAGTGTTTTTAGGGCAATAGTTTCACTGCCCTAAAAAATCTTCTGTGATTCACCTATTCCTACCTTCCCCAACCCCCTGATCCACCTGGCAATTATTGATATTTTTACCATCTCTATCGTTTTGCCTTTTCCAGAGTACCATATAATTAGAATTATACAGTATGTAGCCTTTTCAGACTGACTTCTTTCACTTAGCAATGTGCATTTAAAATCTAAAATTCATCCATGTCTTTCCAAGGCTTGATACTCATTTTTTTTTTTATCATTGAATAATATTCTAGTGTGTGGATGTGCTAGTTTCTTTATCCATGCATGTATTGGAGGATACCTTGTGCTTCCAGCTTTTGGTGACTGTGAATAAAGCTGCTATAAACATTCATGTGAATTTTTTGTGTGCAGTTGTAAGTTTTCAAAGAAGTTAGATAAATACCTAGGAGTGTGAATGTTGTATCATGTGGTAAGAATGTGTTTAGCTTTGTAAGAAACTGGTAATCTGTCTTCTAAAGTGGCTGTACCATTTCGTATTCCTATTCACAATGAATGAGAATTCCTTTTGTTTTGCATCCATTTCTGCAACTGGTATTGTTAGTTTTTAGATTTTAGCCATTCCAATAAACATGTAGCAGTATCTCATCGTTATTTTAATTTCTAATCCCATAATGACATGGTTTGTATGAATGTTTAATCGGTGTAAATTGATTTGTGCTGTATATCTCTTTCTGTCACTTTTTTTCACTAAGCACTCCATATTTAGGATTCACTTATGTTACTGTCTAATCCATTGCTTTTAATTGCTGTGTAACACTCAGATACATCCACCACATATCCCAATTCACTCTCTCAGTTTCAGACATCCCAGTTGCCTCCTATTTCTACCTCCACAGATAGTACTGCATTGAACATCAGTGTTTTATCCCCTTATGAACCTATGAGGAAATTTCTTGGAGAATATACCCACAGGTGAATTACTCAGTCATTCTATATGCACATTCTCAGTGTGACCAAGAGCAATGCTAGTTGGCTCTCCATAGTGGCTACACCAGCTCAAGCTCACACCTGCCATGTATGGGATTCTACATCATGTACTTGACATTTTCCATCTTTCTTTTTCTTTTTTCCTTTTAATTCTTTCTTCTTTCTCTCTCTCTTTTTTTTTTTAGACATAAAGTCTCACTCTGTTGCCCAGGGTGGAATGCACTGGTGCAGTTCTAGCTCACTGCAGTCTCAAACTTGTGGGCTCCAGGGATTCTCTTGCCTTAGCTTCCAAAGTAGCTAAGACTACAGGTGTGCACCATTTCACCAAGCTGATATATTTTTATTTTATTTTTTTGCAGAGATGGGGTCTTGCTCTGTTGTCCAGGCTTTTCTTGAACTCCTGACCTCAAGCAGTCCTCCTGCCTTACCCTCCCAAAGTGTTGAGATTGTGGGTGTGAACCACTGTGCCCAGCCTAGCTTTCTAATTTTTGATATTCTAATAGGTGTAAGTGATATCACAGTACTGTTTGAATGTGCATGTCTCTATTACTGTAATCACTAATGATTTTGAGCATCTCTTTCAGTGCTTAGGTAGTCTTTTGCATTTATTTTCCTCTTCAAATTGCATGTTTGTATTCTTTGCCCATTTTTCTATTGGGGTTGCTATCTTTTTCCTATTGATTTTTAGGCATTTTTTGTGTATTATGGATATTTCTATTTATTTTGTCCATGCTGTTCTCCTTAGTTTTGATGTAATGACACTTACGAATTTTGTCTTCAGTTTTGTGCATTTGAACTCTTGTTTACAAATGCATTTCCCTGCTCTGAGGTCACAAAGATATTCTCCCACATTTTTTCCTACTAATTATCTTCACATTTAGATCTTTAATTCATCTGGAGTCCACCATTTAATGAGGTATAGGAGGAATTAAATTTTATTTTTCTCTATATTGGGAGCTAGCTTTCCCCAAACCATCTTCGAAATGGTCCGTCATTTTCCTATGGATCTGTAGAGACTTCTTTATGTTATCTTTATGTTCCATTTTATTCATAGATCTATTCATTTTGTTTCATTGGCATGGGTCTTGCACCAGTTTCATGATGTTTTTATTAATTTTTTATTATGATAGTTTTACAACCTGTCTTGATATCTAGTCAGCCAGGTCCTTCTTCTTTATCATTTTTTAAAGGTTGACTTAATGGTTCACGGACCTCCCATCTAGAGGTTGCTTTAGTCACTAACTTCCAAGAGCCTCCTGAGCTGGCCATTCTGCCAGAGTTCCCCAGACTTCTTTATAGTACTAATGATGCACGTGTTTGATCTCCCTCTGATTTCTCCAGTTTCAAATAGTGCATCTCTAAAGACCATAATGCTAATCTTAGTGTTGTTTCCATGATTTCCACTAAGCATGAAAAGGAATTTCGAGGGCCAGCACCGGCCACAAATGATCAGCCTGTCCTGTGCTGTTGGGCAGCTGTAACAAGGGTACACTCTTGGCTCAGTTCTGGGCTGAGGATTTACTCTTGGGTAGTAGCCTGGTAGTATGTCTCGGTTCAGAATTACTGGAAAAGCTCCAAATGTAATTCTGATACTATTGGAGCCACTCTGTATCCTGAAGATTTTGGTGAGTTTAGCTCAAATGTCCAATTTTCTCTGCTTGGCCAATTTCAAAGACTTCACCCATTTTCTTTTTTCTGAATTCCCACTCATCTTTCCTTACGTTTTTCTTGCTTTGAAGGAGTTAATCTGCAACTTAAGGTAAAAAAATAGAACAGTTTTCAAGATGATCCCGTTCGAATATCTTGGGAAGTCAGGGTGATATACTAACATGAGTGAAAAACTGAGATTCCTGTTCTGGTTCTACCACAGGTTATAATTTTAAGAGAGAGACTTTATGTGACACCTCTATTTGTCCCCATGCAGTTCAAAACATAGATCTCAGTCTCTTCTCTATTTTTCCTGAAGGAATCTATTCACAAATAAGGTTTTGTGGATTCAACAGCTTTACTGAAGATATGTAGATTGTTGTTAGCGCTTCCTACCTTGCACAGCCTCTTGTCCCGTCACTGGCCCCATGCATCTTCCTCTGCTGCCTTCAAGAAGCTCCAGATCCTGCCACAGACGTGCTCCACTCAGAGGACTGGAGTCCAATCCCCTGACAGTGCTTTTCTCTTTGGGAAGCACCCCCTCCCCCACTGCCATTAAACCTCTGGAATTCTATGGAATAAAGTAAACATTAACTTATAACATTTGTATTTGTGTTATAACCGTCACACTAATAGCTAACACATACATTTAGAGCTTCCTTTGGAATAGTGAATAAAAAATACAGTCAAATGATGACCTCATTTGAATTCCTATGCTGGGCCGTTGATGTAGTGTCTACTACAGAGATCATGCTGTGGGACTATATAATAGGTGATATAATTAGTAATTAAAATAAAATTGACAATAATAAAATGAAAGTACCTTCACTGAGCACTTAGCATGTGCTAGGAGCCATCTCGGTATGTAATATGTTATCTTTGATTCTTGTGACAAATTACCGATGTAGATATTATTATCTTCATTTGATGGGCTAAAAACTGTGTCTGAGCAAAACCACCAACTGGGCCATGCCTCTGACTGATTTACAAACTTTGTCAATTATAGTTCCCATTTGAGAAAAACACCATGATCAGGGCTCTTGGGGCTGTGATGAGAATGATGCTGGAGCGTTTTGTGAACACCCAGGGCACTCAGTGATGGGAGCAGGCACATGTAATTCTTCCCTCTCCCACCTTCTCTTGACCAAAACGTATGCTTCAATCTCCTGACCTGGAACTGACTCTACTCACAGGCAAGTAAGTGTTTGTGGGAACCACTTGCTCGGGACGGATCAAGCTATAAAGTGCGGGGGCATGTGGTTGGGGGCACGTCCTCCAGAGGACAGTCTTAAATCCAGTCTAGCCTTTCCCTTCACCACTTGCACATGGGGCAATGGAGACCCAAAGGGAGAAGGCACTCGTGGAGTCACAGCTGGTTACTGGCAGAGCTAAGACAGGAACTCTGCTTTTTCGGTCATTGGACTCCTGTTACAGTGCTCTTTCTTTACTTTATATCACATTACATTTTAAAATGCAGAATTTATTTCCCTGGGAAACTGTGCACATTTTTGATGATACTTATGTAGTTTATTTTGCTCATTTAGTTTGGAGGGGATGAGATGGAGGAAGGGCAGAAACAATTACTATTAATCTAAATTTTCCTACATCCATCTTACTATTTAATATCTATCCAACACATATCATCTGGCACTGCTAATCACCATAAGGTGACATTTTTTTGAATTGTATAAAAGTAGATATATGTACACGTGGTCAGAGGAAAACAAGCCTGGTTTAAAGACACCGTTTAGAACAGTGGTTGGCAAATTGTTACCTGTCAGCCAAATCTGACTCATCACCTGTTTTAATAAATGAAGTTTTATTGGAATGTAGTCACATCCATTCCTGACATATTTTCTGTGACTCTTTTTGTGCTATAAAGAGTTGAGTGGCTGTAATTGTGACAGAAATCACATCACCTGCAAAGCTTGAGATAGTTACTATCTGGCCCTTTAATGAAAAAGCGTGTTGACATCTGACATTGAAGAATTAGCCTATTTTCGAGACCCATTTCCATGATCACATCTGTTGGTTTTATTTTTGGGGAGATAGAACATAATTATGAAGGCTTATGACTTTGGACCCAGAAAGGCCTGGATTCAAAACCCATTGTGACCATTTATTGGCCATAAGACCTTGGCCAAGATACCAAACCTCTCTATGCTTAAGTTTCTTAATTTGAAAAATAAGAGTAATAACATCAACTACTCTCTGTGGATATGAGAGGTAAATGAAACTATACATCAAAAGCACTAAGAACAGTGTCTGACACATGGTGATTACTAAATAAATGGGAGTGTTTACTCCATTGAGCCTTTGTTTGCTGACTTTTGTTACTACTGATGTTCTCTTGACATGAGGCTACTGCTTTAGTCATTCATTTTCAGCAGATCTCCATATCCCAACCTTGACTTTTGGACCAGATGTTTAACCTCTGTCCACCCTCTTGTTTCCAGTGCTGCTGATAAATACCTCCAAGGTTTTGTCACTTCCCCCACAGGACCAGTACCCGTTTTGTATACCACCTGCTATTCCTATTCAAAATGGTGAACTCAGTAGAGAGAATTTGAGACTTTTTTTAGGTAGAAGTGACAAGTGCCATCTGATAGCACTTGAAATAACAACTGAGATGTACATAAGGAAGGAACAGTTGTTGAGAATGACTTGGAATTCCAACTGGGATAACTGGGCAGATTGTGACGTCATTAATAAGGATTGAGAATACCAGAGGCAGGCATGTTTTTGCCTTGCCGGAAAAATATATCCAGAAGAGGTACAATCACTCTTGTAATATTGTTTAACAATATAAATATAATTTATATTCATCTTCACCTAAAAGTTTGTTATTCTAGGCTCATAATTGGTTGTCCCCACAAATAATGCACTTTTTTACACACTGATATAGCTCTCACCACACTAGACAGTCTTCTAAGAGCTTTTTTTTTTGTTTTTTTGATGGAGGCTCGCTCTGTTGCTAGGCTGGAATGCAATCTCAGCTCACTGCAACCTTTGCCTCTCGGGTTCAAGCAATTCTCCTGCCTCAGCCTCCCAAGTAGCTGGGACTACAGGTGTGTGCCACCACGCCCAGCTAATTTTATGTATTTTTAGTAGAGACAGGTTTCACCATTTGGCCAAGATGGTCTCAATCTCTTGACCACGTGATCTGCCCGCCTCAGCCTCCCAAAGTGCTGGGATTACAGGCGTGAGCCACTGTGCCCGGCTTCTAAGCCCTTTATAATATCATTATAATTTAATCCTCCTGACATTTCTATGAGATAGATGTTATTATTATTCTTATGTTAAAGAGAAGGAAACTGAGGCAAAGAAAGTTTAAATGACTTGCTAAGGTGACATCCCTAGTATATGTTTATCATCCAAGGAAGGCACTTATTGCAAACATGGCCATTTTTTGGAGGTTCATATCACAGTGGGAACTGGCTGAAGCTGAACAGATCTCGGAGATATACTGTACTGATGACCCATAGCAAGGTTGTGCTTGGTGGTAGACGGCTGCAAGTATAGAGCAAGCAGGTGCCAAGAGAAATGCTTTGAACAGTTTCCTTCAGTGGTTGTAAGACTGATAAAATAGAATAATTTATGGTTGCTTTACTGAATAATTTACCAACCAAATCATTCACAAAAGCAGTAAGACGTGAAATAGGAAAACATGAGAGACATGAATTTGAACTAGGAAAGAATCAATAAGAACCAGTGGGGCCAAAAACTGCCCTTGAGGGCTGGGGCACCTTGGCGCTCACAGAGGGAAGGCAGGCCTCTGTTGGATTCAGCTCTGACTTCAAGAGGCAAAACAGAGCTTGCTGTTTCCCATGCACAGTGCGGCCTGAGTGCCTACATCAGCTTTTAGTGGACTCAGTTTGTTTTTTTCTCAGTCATCCGCTGTTACTGAATGGTTGAGTAACTTAGCTTTGTCTAGGGTGCAGAGTAGATCTTCGTATTAGGATTCACATTTGCATCATAGGTTTCACTGGATCCTTGTTGCAAATTGCATGACTTCTAAAAATGATCATTTGGAGAGTGCTATGCAGTTGATAAAAGATTTTGCATGTTATCTTGTTTAATCCACATAACTACTCTTATCATCAAGGTTGTGTTGTATCTCATAGGTAGGCACCAAGGCATAAAGAGGGTAAACTGTCTTGCTCAGGGTCTCGAGTGCAGACTCTGACTCCTAGTCCCCTCTGTTTCCACTCCACCCCCATTGCCTTAGTCTCATTGGCCACAATGAAAGATCAGATGCAATGTCAAAGAGCTGGGTCTCTGTGATAACCACTTCATTAATTGTAGTCCCTTCTGCATTCTTTACCCCATCTATTATCCATGTAGACATCCGTGTAATATCACTTGGGAATCAAAAACATTTTCTTTGTAGCGTAACTTCAGTATTAAATGGCCATCTGAACACTCATTTTTCTAATCTTGTTTAGTGCCTGTGCCATGGGCACTTTTGCTGCCCTCTAGGCTTTTGAGGTAACTTATCTTAATTAACTGAGAAGAAATCATGGTGACTGGCTAAAGAGAAATGATGTCAGCTTTAGAATCAACTCTGATAAATAAATAAAGGGAACCAATTTTTCTGAAATAATCTTGTAAATGGTCTTACTGTCTTGTTTAGAGAATCTTAGAGAATTCTCCTAAAGAAATTGTCAAGCCTGGTTTTCCATTTCTCACAGTTGAAACTCCGGATGATTATTGTACAGTAACAGTAACAACTACAAATTTTATATAGTGATTTACAACTCAAAAAATGCTTGAGTCAGAATGTGAATGCTGATTAGACAGCTCCAACTTCCTCCCCATCCTTATGCCATGTGCTGAGAGCTTGACTAGCTAACAGTCTTGTCACTGTACCTAAATAAATGGGCCACGATTAAGTGCGTTAGATTTCTTTGCCCATTTTAGCAATTGAGTGGAATTTACCTTCAGTTGATCTATGTGTTGCAGCAATATCTGAACGTCATAAAATTTCCTATCAATGTGTTATGGCTCATTCAGTTATATTGTAATGACCGCCTAACTGGACTGCAAACAAATTGGTTTGGGACCTATAGCCTTGAGATATGAATATTGACAAAGTAAAGAACAAGTCTCATGAGAGTTACAAGAAGGAGAAATTTTGTTTTAAGATAACCAGATCCACTGTGCAAATCATGGGGTCTTGGTTTGTTTGTAGTTTCCCAATGAGATTAGTGCTGAAAAGAAAAACTTCCTTGATTTCTGTTACACATGTTCAGAATTCTGTTAATCAAAGTTTCAGCAAATGGTCAGAGGTCAGGTCCATTGTGGGCCATTTTTCTCGTGTATTTTCCATGGATAATTGGCCATGATTATCAACCCATTGCCTTTGACCCTTTGACTTTCTGCTCTGGAGATGAGAGCTTAGCAAAGGTGGGGAGTGGTTGTTCATAATTGTTCCCATTGCCTATTGGAGGCACCACGGGGGAAAGAGCAGTTCTGTGTGTTTGATATCCTTTATCCCATTTCTGGGCAGCTAATATTCACCTATTAAAATCCACAGAAATTAAAGAGTTTGGGTGGGAAATAGGATTATTGCTTATTTTAAGAAGAGATTCTTAGGAAGTTATTCTCTCAATCGCTCAGATTATCAGCATCCTTTATTTCTGTAAAGCACTGTTTTATTATAAACTACCTTGTGAAAAATTAAACTCAGAAGATGGAATTATTATAGTAACATGCAAGTACTCTCCACCTGTTATCTTTTTTTGCCCTTAACTAACCTTTAATAAGGACTTTTTAAAAGAAGGAGTGCATAAAGGCATTTTTTCTGAAATATTCAAGCACATAAGAGAATATGGAATTTTAAAGATAACTGGTGAGAATCCACTTTATTTCTCAGTCTAGACCAAATTATGTCACAGTAATAACCTGGCTTAATGACATACAGGGTAAAAGGTTTATTTGTCTCTCATGTTACACATCCATTGTGGGTTGTCTGGGAGCTCAGCACCATTCTTGCTGAGGTACCCAGGGTGTCAGGGCTGTCAATGACAGTCACTAGATGAGACAGACAGAGAACATGGTGCATGATGCCTGGAGTCTTAAAGCTTCTTATCTGGAAATTACACAGGTCCCTTGTATTAACATTTCACTGGCAAAAGTAAGTCATGTGATCACACCTAACCTTAAGGCAGGTGGGGCAATGCACTGGTGCCCCATACAGAAGAGGAATAATAGAAATATTTGTTGGACAGCACCAATGACTATGGTATAGACTTTTATGTTTCAAACTGCAACACTCCTCTCTCCATTTATAGATAAACCTATCCAACATTATTTCAACTATAAGACTTCTCAGTACTTTTTGACATCTGGTAGAAAGGATCCTTCTCATCACTTAAAAATATTGGGAAGATAGTTGTATATTGATAAAATTAGAATAATTATCTCAAGTTACATAAAAAATCCTTTGAGGACCATGATTGGAATTGCTTTATATTTAGGAATTAATGTTTGGAGAATCTATATCTTTCTAAGGTCTTTAGAAACATGAGGTTGCTGAATTTTTCCAGTTCTCTTTTAGATACCAGTTTGGAGTTTGTAATATCTACACAATTTCCCTGTAATTTTGCTTTAGCTCTGTCCCATGTATTTGTAATGTAGCATTTGTATTAACATTCTATTTGTTACTTATTTTTAATTTATTGAATAAAATCAGAGAACATAATATGTGTGATGTCTATTCTTTGAACTTCTTTGAGGCTTCCTTTTCTTATTACATGTCCTATTTTTGTTTAGCTGGTTTTATTTAAATTTTAAATTTATTGTTGAAATATTGTACTTGCTATTTTTCATATTTTAAAAAATCTTCAGATTTTTCATATTTATGTTTTCATGTTTAATTTCTTTGTATCTTCTCTTTTTTACTTAACATATGTGCCAAAGATTTATTCATTTTGAGGCAAAAGGGAGGATTTTTCCAAAGAAGAAGCTCTTAGTTTTAGTAAACAAGTGTTTTTGTTTCCTATTTAATTAGAACTAAATTTTAATAATTATTAATTTATTTCTTTTACTATCCTTAGGTTCAACTTACTGTTCATTTTTCTAGCTGCTTTTGTTGAATATGTAATTCTTATTTTAATCTTACTTGTTTTTTGACAATTAGTTCAAGGTTATAATAATTACTGTGTTTTTTTTTTTGTTGTAAGATCCACGACAGAGCACACATATGATGTGTGTACTCTAACATAGTTACTCTGAATAACACTTTGGCCACATCCGATAGGTTTCTAAATGCACTGCCTTCATAGTCATTTATTTCTAAGAATGTCATTTTATTCCTGTTTTCCTGTTTTTACCAAAAGGCTTATTATATGTTTTCTTTCTTTGTCTGTTTCTAATTTTTAAATGACTTGATGCATTTTTGGTTATCCCTTTATTGTTATTAACTTTGGATCCAGTGAATGTAGCCCTTTGGGATTTTTGAGACTCTTCTTTGGGACCTAATTATCAGAAGTTGGGAATGTCCATGTGTGGTAAAGCCAGCAGTTTTATTTATTATGTCAAAAGTTTTATAAACATTTTTCCCTCTCATATATATATATCTATATACACACACACATGCACACATTTAGATCATACTTCTTGATGACATATAGCATAAAGAAAATATGCTATATATGAATAATGAAGTACATCTGAGCCATGAAAAGAATGAAATCATGTCTTGCAGCAACATGGATGGAACTGGAGGATGTTACCTTAAGTAAAACAGCTCAGAAACAGAAAATCAAATACCGTAGATTCTCACTTAAAAGTGGGAGCTAAATGGCCAGGTGCGGTGGCTCACGCCTGTAATCCCAGCACTTTGGGAGGCTGAGGTGGGTGGATCACGCGGTCAGGAGATCAAGACCATCCTGGCTAACACGGTGAAACCCCATCTCTACTAAAAATACAGAAAAACTAGCCGGGCGTGGTGGCGGGCGCCTGTAGTCCCAGCTACTCAGGAGGCTGAGGCAGGAGAATGGCGTGAACCCGGGAGGCGGAGTTTGCAGTGAGCCGAGATCGCGCCTCTGCACTCCAGCCTGGGCAACACAGTGAGACTCCATCTCAAAAAAGAAAAAAAAAAAAAGAAAAAAAAAGAAAAAGTGGGAGCTAAATAATGTGTACACATGGATATAGAGCGTGGAATGATAGACATTGGAGACTCAGAAGGGTACAGGGGTGGCAGGAAGAGCTGGATGATGAGAAATTAGTTAATGGGTACAATGTACATTATTTGGGTGATGGATACACTAAAAGCCTAGACCACTACACAATACATCCATGTAACAAAATTGCACTTGTGCTACTTAAATTTACACAAATCTAAAAAGAGAAAGAAATATGTTCTAAGAAATTAAACTTTCTTATATTTATATATTTTTAAATTTATTTTTACAGAGGGAAGAATTTTCAAATCTAGATTTTTCAGTTTCTCTTTCACTTCAAAATTTTTACCTTAAATATTTTGATTTTGTATTGCTAATTACATGAAGTTCAAGGATATTATAACATTGTTTTGGGTTTTACACTTTATCATTACAAAACATCTCTTTGCTCCAGATTTTGCTTTTGACTTTATACCATTTTGGCTCTACATTAAGTTTTGCCATTTCTATTTTCCTTTTGTTCAGTTTTTCAATTTGCTTGGTTCATCTTCTTCCATCTTTATAATTTTAATTTTTGTATGTTATTCTCTTTTAGATATGTCTCCCATTAAGATCATAGAACTGTATTTTAATTTAACCCTTTTAAAACATTTTCTGATAGTTCATTGTTAATAAGAAAGTTTAAACCATTTATATTTATTATTCCTGACCTCAAATTTTATGCTTGGTCTGTGCAATGCTTTCTTATTTTCTTTTCTCATATTTATTGGTCTTTGTGTGTGTGTTTGTGTGTTGAAGTTGAATGAGTTTTCTTAGTTCCAACTTTCTCTTCTAGCTTGAAATTATGATTCAATATCTATTTTTGGTACTGTGTTTAAATGCACAATGCACAGTTAAAAACTCATATTTTTCTATAATCATTTAGTCATTGTACTTCTGTTAAACCACCGAAATAATTTTAAAATACCATCTCTTTTGTTCTCACTAACATGTTGTGAAAAATATTTTCATCAATTGTTAAAGAGAATGTATTAACTATTGTTTAGAAATAACCATCATTACTTTTTGTGAGTATTCATCATCTGTATTCTGTGATTAATTTTTTATATTTCTGTAGGTATCACTGAGTGATTCAGAGAAGGTCTGGTTTGATAAGCCATCTACGTTCTTGTATGACCAAAATATATTTTCTTTTCTTTTTTTTTTTTTTTTCTTTTTTTGAGATGGAGTCTTGCTCTGTTGCCAGGCTGGAGCGCAGTGGCACGATCTTGGCTCACTGCAGTCTCTGCCTCCCAGGTTCAAGCAGTTCTCCTGCCTCAGCCTCCCAAGTAGCTGGGACTACAGGCGTGTGCCACCACACCTGGCTAATTTTTGTATTTGTAGTAGAGATGGGGTTTCACCCTGTTGGCCAGGATGGTCTCGATCTCCTGACCTTGTGATCCTCCGCCTCCGCCTCCCAAAGGGCTGGGATTACAGGCATGAGCCACCGTGCCTGGCCCTATTTTCTTTTTAAAAATCTTTCACGTACATGGTAGTTTTCATATAGAATTCATGGGTCCAACAATTTACCCTTGAAACTTCAAATATATTTGTAGTAATTGTCTAGTGATGTTGATGGAAAGCCAAGTGTAAATTGATTTCTTTTGAAGGGGCTTCTGTTTATCTTTGAAAATTGTATGCTTTTATTGTTACCCATGGAATTCCAAAGTTTTACTAGGATGTTTTTCATGTGAGCTACTTATAAATCTGTTTACTTATTATTCATTGTGCTTTTCAGTGTAAAGAGCCATGACTTTCTTCACATCAAGGACATTTTTAATGACATTAATTGATTAATATATGCTTTAGAACTCTAACTGCATGGAAACTGAGCTTTCTAGATGAATCCTCCAATATCTAGCACAGTACCTTAATGCATTGGGTGCATTATAAAATCACATTGAATTATAAATGCCCTCAGAAAAGAACACAATGCCTAATTCCTGACGCAGTTCATTTAGGAAGAGTTCATAGATTATGTAGCATGTTGAATACACCTTGAAGACAGAGCCAGATTATGAGAGTTGGAAAAAAGTTTTAAAATGTAAAAGTAGTAGCCAGGGCTAAGGTGTGGCTTTGGGAAGTTTCAGGCAGCAGAAATAGCTGTGCTAGAATAAAGGGAACTTCCGCTGAGAGGTAGTAAAATACATGGCTAGAAAAATAGTCACCAGATTTTGCAGGGCTTTTTTTTACCCCAGATGAAGACAGTTACGTGTTTTATGAAGTGGACAGTGAGAAGCCATAGGAGTGACATCATTCATGTAATGTACATGAATTTTTTTTTTTTTTTGACACGGAGTCTCGCTCTGTTACCCAGGCTGGAGTGCAGTGGTGTGATCTCGGCTCACTGCAATTTCTGCCTCCCGGGTTCATGCCATTCTCCTGCCTCAGCCTCCCAAGTAGCTGGGACTACTGGTGTCCGCCACCACACCCGGCTAATTTTTTTTTTTTTTTTGTATTTTTAGTAGAGACGGGGTTTCACCGTGTTAACCAGGATGGTCTTGATCTCCTGACCTCATGATCCACACGCCTTGGCCTCCCAAATTGCTGGGATTACAGGCGTGAGCCACTGCGGCCAGCCGATGTACATGAATTTTAATATGACTGAGTTGTATGAGTGACTGGATTTGGACGGGAAGGGTTAAGTATAGATTAATTAGAAGGTTCTGCGGTTATCTTGATGGGAGATTACAAGGGTCAGAACCAATGTAATGACATTAATCATGGAAAGGAAGAAATGAATGTGAGAGATGGGAGGAGAGAGAGAGAGATAATGATGTGACTTATGTCAGCACGGGTAGGCTAACAGAAAGAAAAGTCAGAATTTCAAAGAAATAAGGCAGCCAGTAAAGAGGACTTCGGGTTGAAAGATGATTTCAACTTTAGGCATATTTAGATTATGGTTTTCTTTGAACATCTGTCTGGGGAACTCCAATGGCCAGATAGAAAAAACAGGGCATGTGTGTTTATTGTGGCACTGTTCACAATAGCAAAGACTTGGAACCAACCCAAATGCCCATCAATGATAGAATAGATAAAGAAAATGTGGCACATGTACACCATGGAACACTATGCAGCCATAAAAAGGATGAGTTCATGTCCTTTGCAGGGACATGGATGAAGCTGGAAACCATCATTCTCAGCAAAGTAACACAAGAACAGAAAACCAAACACCCCTTGTTCTCACTCATAAGTGGGAGTTGAACAATGAGAATACATGGACACAGGGAGGGGAACATCACACACTGGGGCCTGTTGGGGGTTGGGGGGTTTGGGGAGGGATAGCATTAGAAATGCCTAATGTAGATGATGGGCTGATGGGTGCAGCAAACCACCATGGCACGTGTATACCTATGTAACAAACCTGCACGTTCTGCACATGTGTCCCAGAACTTAAAGTATAAAAAAAAAAAAAAGCAAAGCAAAGCAATAGGCCATTATAAATCAGAAGGTGGAAATGCTTAATAGGTACAAAAAATAGTGAGAAAGAATGAATAAGACCTGGTATTTGATAGTACAACAGGGTGAGAATAGTCAATAATAATTTAATTTTATATTTTTAAACAAATAAAAGTATAATTAGCTTGTTTGTAACACAAAGCATAAATACTTGAGGGAATGGATACCCTGTTCTCCATAATGTGATTATTATGTATTATATTCCTATATCAAAACATCTCATATACCCCATACATATATACACCTATTATGTACCCACAAATATTAAAAATAAAAAATTTTTGAAAAGAAATGAGGAAGAACAACTCTTAATAGCATGTGATATACAGATGCTTTATAAAATATAGTTTTATTTTTGTTTGCTTGGGGGCTTAAAATATATTTGTGAGGTCAAGGTGACACCTTATAGGCAACAGTAATGTAGAGAATATAATTTAGAGCTGACTTGGCATGACACATTTCCAGTGTTGTGAGCATTTAGGAAAAAAGGAGATTAAGGACTTGTTGGGGCTGGTCATGGTGGTCCATGCCTGAAATCCCAGCACTTTGGGAGGCCGAGGTGGGTGGATCACAAAGTCAGGAGATCAAGACCATCCTAGCCAACAGGGTGAAACCCTGTCTCTACTAAAAATACAAAAATTAGCTTGGCATGGTGGTGCACACCTATAGTCCCAGCTACTCGGGAGGCTGAGGCAGGGCAATTGCTTGAACCCAGGAGGCGGAGGTTTCAGTGAGCCAAGATCTCACTGCTACACTCCAGCCTGGGTGACAGAGTGAGACTCTGTTAAAAAAAAAAAAAAAAAAAGGACTTGTTAAAGAGAATTTAAATTGGCCTTTGATGGGTGGAAGGGTTTAGCTGGGTGCAAGCACAGGGAAGTTTGACATTGATGCCATCTTTTAGAATTAAGAGGTACTCATATGTTATGGTCATTATGAGTAAATGTCTTGATAACCAATTAGGCCTGATGAAGGCAAGGAATTCCCATGTATTTCTGGGTTTCTGTACTCTGCATGGCAGTTTGCTGCTGCGTATCTGTCATCCACACTAAATCTGAAGTAGATCTGTGTCTGTTTAGAACTGTAGCTGGCACAGGGTAGTGAATTTAATAACAGATGCAAAATGTAGGACTGACAGGATGTATGCCCCTGTAAACAGGATGGGGCTTAATCCCTTGGAAAGTAATGTAATGCAATTCAATGCAAGATTTCACAGGGACTTTAGGTGATTTTGTTTCCCAGGAAAACCTAACAGAATTATGCAGCTGTACATCCTTGGGATGGGCACCAATAGACCAAAAAAAAAAAAGTATTATTTTTCAAAGAGCAGACTAAATCTCACCTCATTTCCCCCACGATATTTGCTCTCTGCTTTCTAGGAAGAAGAAGCAAAGCACACCATTGATGTGTGTGGGTTTGATGTAGCATCTTCTAAGAGGTCTACAAAGAGACATTGCAAAGCCAGGCCTCTAAATGATTCCTCTGTGAAACATTGGGCCAAACATTCCGTAACCCCTTCCTGCTCTGGTGATCATGTAAGTAGATATTCTGGAAGCACTTGCTCTACAGATGGAGAATTGTCACCATCTGCCAGGACAGCTCCTGCTCATCTTTCATGACTCAGCTCACATGTCATAACTTCAAGGGGCCTTCAGCTCTCTGGCCCTTCCTGCCCCATGAAGGCTCTACCCAGTGCCCCCAACTTTGCTCCTTCGGCTGCATTTGAAGCATTTACCTGTGCTTGTTAATTGTTGGTGGAATTGTCTGTAGACTGTGACCTTGAGTGTGCAGAGTCTTGTAGAGTCATCTCTGGATTCCCCACTCTGAGAACCACGCTTGGCCATTGCAGGCTCTCAACAAAGGCTTGCTGAGGGGATGAATGAATGAATGTATGGATGGCATGAATGTATGGGCTCTGGTGAATTTTTTGCCCACATTTTGCTGGCCAGCGGCTGCATTGGGTCTGCACACTGAACCCTTTGGCTCAAGGTATCAGAGCTGCTCTCCTTCCAGTGAAGACTTGGATGGAAGACTTGAGATGCAGGTTATGGGGATACGTGTCACCTCTATTCCTCATTCAGAAGGATACATACCTCACTGGACCATAAAAAATGAGAACTGAATTATCTGAGTGTTTGAATAAACTTCCACCTTGTTACTCCACTACAGTCTGAGAAAACTTCACTGCACAAATAGAGGCAGTGTACACCCCTCACAGACACTTTCCTTTCTCCTGTTGAGAGGTGAAGCCAGCTGGACTTCTGGGTCGGGTGAGGACTTGAAGAACTTTTTTGTCTTACAAGAGGTTTGTAAAATGCACCAATCAGTGCTCTGTAAAAACGCACCAATCAGCGCCCTGTGGCTAGCTAGCGGTTTGTAAAATGCACCAATCAGTGCCCTGTAAAAACGCAGCAATCAGCACTCTGTGGCTAGCTAGAGGTTTGTAAAATGGACCAATCAGCACTCTGTAAAACAGACCAATCAGCACTCTGTAAAATGGACCAATCAGCAGGACATGGGTGGGGACAAATAAGGGAATAAAAGCTGGCCACCCCAGCCAGCAGCAGCAACAACACGGTCGCGTCCCTTTCCACGGTTTGGAAGCTTTGTTCTTTTGCTCTTTCCAATAAATCTTGCTACCCTTCACTCTTTGGGTCTGTGCCACCTTTGAGAGTTGTAACACTCACTGCGAAGGTCTGCGGCTCCATTCTTGAAGTCAGTGAGACCTTGAACCCACCGGAAGGAACAAACTCCAGACACAGTGTGCGTGAAAAAAATACCATGTGAAACCATAAGATACCATTGGCTCCCTTCTCTAAAGAGACTGAACCCTGCCTTCAATATCAAAGGTTTGGTCCACTGGCAATATCTTTAAATGCAAATTACCCCATTGCTGCTGTTATTTGCTGCTCTTGAGTAATTCCAGTTTTGCTTTCCTGGGAATGAAGTTTAGTATGAGAAATGTGGATGCCCATGAACATTTCTGCTATATCCTTGAGAAAAATGATGGAACAAATTGTTCTCTGTGGGGTTCCATTCAGGAACCTGGAGGCATGGCGTTGGTAGTATTATTATCATTAGCAGCGTGGCAACTTAGTCTGTTTTCAAACTGGCAGCAAAAAAGTAATATTTATCTACTTGGCCATCCGGAGAAGTGTTATGGATTTGCAATTTTGCACTTTAGTGGGGTCATAGAACAGGTACAGAAATGGAAGCTGTTGAAAATTTTCATGCAAGAGGAGAAACACACAAGATCTGTGAATAGATTGAAGCTTTGGTCAAGAAATGGAGGTTGTATGTTTGATTTGAAGGTCTTGAGTTCTCCTCAGGCTAATTGTGGACAGTCTTTTCTTGACGAGCACGAATCTCTCAGCCAGCTGGATTTTATATTATAGAATTAGCCTTTCAAAAAGGACGCTGCATTGTTAGCTTAGTTACTATATAGTAGTGCAATGAGATGATGTATGAGGATGTATTTTGAAAACTGCCAAGTGCTGTGCGTGGGATGGATGACAGTGGCGGTGATGATCATGATGATCATGATGATTTATCAGCAGACATTCTAACCCAGATATATGTTTCCCCAATCAGTCCTGTGGGGAAATGAAGGTCTATAGCCTGACACATCACAGCAAATCAGTCCGCTGAGTCCCAGCAAAGGAGACACAGGTGTGGAATTCCACGTGTAGCTGGGGTTCAGAAGCTCCAGGGGATTGAATGCTAAGAGCTTCGTATCTCTGTAAGAAGTTCTCTGTAAGAAGTCATCTCTGCAAGAAGTCACTCTTGCATTGAAGCCGCTGAGCTAAAGGAAAAGCTTGATTTGCTATTCAGAGAATCTCACATGTCACTTTGATTGTGCAGACACTCCTCCCAGCTTTTATACACCATACCCACATGCAGTCCGTAAACACATATCCTCACATTATACATGTACCCCATGTGCACACATAGACAGCTCCATGCACACACCTCCCATCTGATGTGCATACACCTGCATCTACCACCCTGATAAATATACCCCCTCTGTATTTTACACACAGAGCCCGTATACCCCCATACATGTTCTCTCTCTAATCTCTCTCCATGGCCACGGCCTCCACCCCTTATTCATGTACCCCTTACATCCTTCATAAATACACATCTTGCACATCTGTACACACCCCCACATACCCCACTCTTATGTGCTATTACATGTTCTCCCTCATCCCACATGCATACCACTACATGCAGACCCATAGGATGTACTCAGACACTCATATACATAGTCATGCATGCATGCAGGTGGTCACAGTGTTGTCTGGGGTAGAGAGAGGTACAGTTCTAGAGGGACAAGTTAATCTGTGCATATTTATTACACTTAATCTGTCATTCTTTTCCCCTTTTTCTGCCCTTCCCTCCTGGCTCCCTCCCTGACAATTGTTTGTAGAGCAACTCTTTTCAGTTTTCATAAACATCCTTTGCTTTGCCTAAAATGTAAGTATATGGCCTGAATTACTATCTATTAACCTTTTCAAAAAATTAATGAATTAATTTTTGTTTTATTTTTATAGATTTAGAGAGTACAAGTAGTTTTGCTACATGGATATATTGTATTTTGGTGAAATCTGGGCTTTTAGTGTAACCATCACCTGAATAGTATATATGGTACCCATCAATTTCTCATCTACCACCCCCCTGACACCCTCCCACCTTTCTGAGTCTCCAGTGCCTATCTTTCTACTTTCTAGGTCCATGTGTACACATTATTTAGCTCCCACTTCTAAGTGAGAACATGTGGTATCTGACTTTCTGTTTCTGAGTTATTTCACTGAAGAAAAGGACCTCCGGTTCCATCAATGTTGCTGTAAAAGATACAATTTCATTATTTTTTATGGCTGAGTAGTATTCCAGAG
The DNA here is from genome assembly GCF_000001405.40 of Homo sapiens. Lineage (NCBI taxonomy): Eukaryota > Metazoa > Chordata > Mammalia > Primates > Hominidae > Homo > Homo sapiens. Next base: position 93,557,118 of record NC_000015.10, read on the forward strand.
TATATAGGTAGGTAGGTAGGTAGGTAGGTAGATAGATAGATATCACATTTTCTTTATTCAATAATCTGTTGATGAACACTTAGGTTGATTCCAAATCTTTGCTATTGTGAATAGTGCTGTGATAAACATACAAGTACAGGTATCTTTATTATATAGTGATTTCTTTTCCTTTGGGTAGATACCCAGTAGTGGGATTGCTGGATCAAATGGTAGATCTATTTTTAGTTATTTGAGAAATTGTCATACTGTTTTCCACAGAGGTTGTACTAATTTACATTCCTATTTTTCGATGAACTCAGATGAAGAAAGTTTCTTAACAAGAATTCATTTGGGGATATGTTTGTATTTATTCAGGCTCCCATGACCAGATCATTGAACCATTCTAGAGACTTCAAATCCATTGAGATGGGATTAATGCCTTTGCCTACTCAGGCAGAGGACAGACTGACCATTGCAAGTGTTCATCAGCATTTTCCTGCTCTTAGACGGAAAGGCCAAGGCCACCCCAAGCATGCTGAAATTAATGGGCCATCGTCAGGAAGGAGTTCACAACTGTATATGGAGCCAGGTAACCGCTTTTCATTTTCCGTTAGCTGAAAAAACTACTAGTTCAAAGACATTGATGTAAGTGGCACAAGGGGCATACATTCTGCAATTTGTCTTTAGCAGCCCAGCAAGATGAGATTTTAAAAACTTTGTGGCATCTTCTCTGTCATCTAGAAGAGTTCTTTGATTTTTGCACAGCTGTCAAATGTTTAGTTGCTTGCCTTCTTATGCTAACCACATCTGGAGCTCTCTGAGACTACCAAAGGGCCTCCTGCTTCTTTGGTTTCTCCAGTCAAGAGCTTAACCCTGAATTGATTATTGTGGATGCCTGTGGAACCATTGCAAATTTCATATGATGAAGGTGAACTTATACCTCTAGAAGACAGAAAAGCCTTGGAAATAAAGCCATTGACCTCAAACAGGAAATTCTGATGTATTTTCCCAGAAGGTTTAACAAGGAGGAGCACTTTCTCAGAATCACTGCCTCACTAGTTCATGCCCACAGTTAGACTCATTGTGGACTGACCCAGCATTGCCAGACACATAAGGATACCAGAGGTGGAGGGAGAGGAGAAAATGTGACCTATTTACAAGTGGGGCTCAGAAAGGCAAATGGAGACGCTTCAAATGCATAGCCTTTTGCTTCCTGTTTTTTGTTTTTGTCTAATTTTGTACTCTATTCCAGTTTTCCATTGAGCTAGAGAGGCTAATGCATATGATCTAAAAGTGGAGCATATCTAGAAACTCATGCCACTTCAATTGCAGTGGAATGAAAGCTGCATGCAAGGACCTAGGACTGAGATCCACCAATAATATTGCATCACTGGAGTACTTGTAAGAATCAAATCACATTAGGGAGGTTAGAAGGATGAGAACACTCATTGCAGACTGTGAGGAGATAGACAACTGTTCATTATTCTTCATCTGCCAATAGGCTTCCTTAAAATATGAAGGCTTTTTTCTGCAAATTTTATAAACTTTATGGATCTGCAATTAATCCAAGGCTTCTTTGAAGATGGGGGAAATAAATTTGTCTTTACAACATCTCCAAGAAGAGACCAACCGTCCAGTAGATGATTAGAAAATCAGAAATTAATTGGTTGAACATTTTTATTCTCCTTGGGCATTTGAGCCCAGAAAAGGGAGGCAAAGAGACCCTCAGAGTGAGCAAAATGAGAAATGAGAGGGAAGGGAGAGACAGAGGAGAGGTCTGAGAAAAGGACAAGGGTTGTGAGCCAGAAGCTTCCTCTGTGCTAAGTCATTTAATTCTTGCTGTCACCTTGTGAGGAGTGTCACTCAGCTGTCCTCAAGTCCTGTACACTTTAATATCCCAAAGTGGGCTTGGCAGCTCATCTGCGCAGAGATTCCAGCATTCTCTTTAATACCACCACGGATCTGGGGTGTTTGTTTTGGTGGTGATAGTGATGGGTTATTCTGTCAACCACGCAAAGTAGAAGTGCCTGCAGTTAGGTTTTTGTATTAAGTAGCAAGGGTTTTTTGGGGGGATTTGGTTTTTCTGCAGTTGTATATGAATAGTCCATTTTACAAAAAAGAGGCTCAATAAATCTAAATAACCTTCTCAGTTAATTATGATACTAATTACGAACACAGACCTAAAATACAGAACTGGAATTGAAACTCAGGGCTGTGGGCCTCAAGTCCTCTTATGTTCTGATTTGCCGCATGGTCTGTAGGAAGAGACCAGCTTTGGGCCAATTGATACCCTGGGACAGTGCTCCCTAAGCTTCACGAGCAAAAGATTGTTGCTTGTGCAATCCTGCCCTCAGCAAGTGGACATTTGGGATACATTAGGGATGGATTTCAATGGCTTCCTGCTTCCTAGAGGAGAAATGATGAGCAGAAGCCTTAGCTCCATGCAAAATATCAGCTCCTTCTGACATTGCTGGTTCCCTGTCTCCCTACTCTGGGTTTGCAATAGATAAGGAAAGGGCGATGGTACTCAGAGGAACTTCCAATCGGCAACATGCCTTAAATCTTAGTGGCCTTGTGGCATTCATGACCAAACATCGTCACAGGGAAACACTCATTTCAATAACTGTAAAGAAGTGTGCCTGAGGAATACTGAGCTCAAAACACATTTGAAAAAGGAATTTGAGAAGGGAAAGCAATGAAAGGAAGACAGTTTTTTAATTTTTATTTGTTTTAGTATTTTCAAGACTCTGATATTTAGTACTAATAGTAAATAATTAAAAAAAAGTTTAAAGTTCTTGAGGGCACAGAACAAAAGCTTTTGAGCTGGGATTAAATTCTAGCTGCTTTTATTAAAAGTTTTTGTAGGAATCCACAGGGACGCTATTGAGACCATGTCTCATCATTCACTGATTAGTAGATTTCTTGAGCTGTGAAAATGATTTCTTCTCATTGATCTGATACACAGGGATGGAACGCTCAAAAGAACAGGGCACGTGAGTGACACTGCAAAGCACCTTGGAACTCACACCTAATATACTCTTTGATGAACAAGACTATAATAAGATTGAGACAGATGCGTTTTTAAGACCCAAACGTAGGCTGGGGGTGGTAGCTCATGCCTATAATCCCAGTACTTTGGAAGGCCACAGCGGGCAGATTGCTTGAGCCCAGGAGTTCAAGACCAGCCTGGGCAACTGGTGAGACCTTGTCTTTACAGAAATATAAACATTAGCTCAGCGTAGTGGCACATGAATGTAGTCTATAGTCTTAGCTAATGGGGAGGTCGAGGTGGAATGATCACTTGAGTCCAGAAGGTGGAGGCTGCAGTGAGCTGTGATTGTAATACCGCACTCCAGCCTGTCTAAAAAAAGAAAAAAGAAAAAAAAAGATCCTAACATAATGAGTAGTTTTTTTGTTTTATTTTTATATAGAGCATTTTAATTGATTTTTATCCTCCTATAACCTTAATACTCTTACCTATTGATATGGTTCGGCTGTGTCCCCACCCAAATTTCATCTTGAATTGTAGCTCCCATAATTCCCACATGTCGTGGGAGGGACCCAGTGGGAGGTAATTGAATCATGGGGGCAGGTTTTTCCTGTGCTATTCTTGTGATAGAGAATAAGTCTCATGAGATCCACTGGCTTTATAAAGGGCAGTTCCCATGGACACGCTCTCTTGCCTGCCACCATGTAAGACATGCCTTCGCTCTTCCTTCTCCTTCTACCATGACTGTGAGGGCTCCCCAGCCACATGGAACTGTGAGTCCATTAAACCTCTTTCCTTTATAAATTACCCATTCTTGGGTATGCCTTTATTAATAGCATGAGAATAGATTAATACACTTATTTTGTAATATTTTTAATTCTCTAGGAATGCAAAGAATTTAAACTTTGGTGATCAATACATAGTTGTAAATATTATGGAAAAGGAAAAAGAGGCTGGGTGTGATAGCTCACACCTGTAATCTCAGCACTTTGGGAGGCCTAAGTGGGCAGGTCACTTGAGGTCAGGAGTTTGAGACCAGCCTAGTCAACATGGTGAAACCCCATCTCTACTAAAAATACAAAAATTAGCTGGGTGTGGTGGTGGGCAGATGTAGTCCCAGCTTCTTGGGAGGCTGAGGCAGGAGAATCCCTTGAACCTGGGAGGCGGAGGTTGCAGTGAGCCGAGATTGTGCTACTGCACTCCAGCCTGGGTGACAGAGTGAGACTCTGTCAAAAAAAAAAAAAAAAAAAATAGGAAAAGGGTAGGGTTGTGGAATCAAACAGCCAAGGATATGGACATTACAAACATGGAATTGCAATCACACAATTGTTCTGTTTAATTTCTTAACTAACTTGAACTTTTGTTTTCTCAATTGTGAGATCAGGATGACAACACCTCTCTAGTAGGATTGTTTTGAGGATTCAAATTGAGAGCTTATATAAAAAGAGTCTTGAATGCTGCCTAGCATGTAGTAAGTATTAAAATGGTCATTTTCTTCCCCCTTTCCTACACTGAAGTGCTTATAATTACGATCACTGCCAATCTGTTTTTCAACATAGCATTTGGAGAACATCAGAGGCAACCAGATGAGTATTTAATGAAATTAACTGATCATCTCATTTATTTATTCAATTAATATTTAATTTTAGATATGATAAATGGAATGAGCTAGCATAAAACATATTTACTTGCTAGGGTAATTTCTTCCTGGAACTTAAGTGCCTTTGACTTTCAGTCAAAGAACTCTCTTTTGAGAGTCAACTAAATCAAACTTATGGAGGAAAAAACTATCAACATAAGATTCTGTTACTTGGGGGGTTGATGTGGGAGGATGCCTTGAGTCTAGGAGGCTGAAGCTGCATTGAACTGTGATCTTACCACTGCACCCCAGCCTGGCCAACAAAGTGAGACCCTGTCTCAAAAAAAAAAAAAAAAGATTCTGTTGTCAGTTGGCTGATATATTTTATTTCTACCTCCAGTGAACATATATTTATAAACATAAATTGAACACATATTGCCTATCTCATATATACATGTGCATATATATATACACACACACACACACACACACACACACATAGCATTTGTTGCATATATGATGCAAGGTGCTTATCCCAGCAGGAAAGGTTTGCAGGCTGATCTTTGAAACTACATTGATAAGAGGTAGAGTGAACATACATTTTAGTTTTTCTCTTTTAGGTTTAATTTATATCTGCTGACTTGATGCAATTATTAATAAAACTTGCTTGTACCCTCCAAAGAGTTCCAGGAGATGGTAAGAAGTGTTCGGATGATACAGTACATGGTCATCCTAGTAACAGGTATCTCCTCCCAGGAATAGGGGCTTTGGCTCCTTTTGAAGGATCCTGGGAAGTAGTTGCCTTGACCATTTCTTGCTCAGGGTC